>NC_000006.12:156737456-156888971 GCF_000001405.40 Homo sapiens | reverse complement strand
TAATGTGGAAGCTTTGACACCTAGGGTATCAATATTTGCATTTAAAACAAAATTAAAAAATAAGTATTTTCCATACCAAATATACAGTCATTTTTAAATGCGAGACTCATAACTATGGAAATGCATCAACATGACTTCGTAAAACTCTATTCCTGTGAAGGTCATAGGATACGTGGAAAGAAATGAAGGGCTCAGGAGGTAATCTATAGTAACGAACGGGTCAATTCTGCTCACAGAAGCAACACTTTCCTAGAAAATAAAAAGGCCTGAGCTGCCTTGCCTCACGGGGATTTGGTTGTTTCCATCCCAAAAATGCTGTCCCAGGAAAAGCACACTCGTGGTATCATTTATTTAGTAATGAGTACATCTCACTACAAAGCAATTTGGATTTTCCCTCTTTCTTGTTATATTATTGCCCAGACTGTAACTGGTAATTTTGAATTCGTGAATGTCATCTTTGAGATTTTCCATTGTTTTTAATGCAAAAGGATTACAAAATCAAAAGTCAACACAGTCTAACAGTACTTCACACACATGTTAGAACAGCAGGGTTTTCTAATAAGACTTTAAAATAAGTGTCAGGCTACAGTATGTTCGTGTTTCTAAAAACCACCCACTTGGTCCACAAGCACATGGTGAGGACACCATTTACTACAGTGTAAAACAGAAAACACTCGGGAAGCAGAAGTGATGGGAATTACAGAGGAGCTTCTTGCTTATCTGCCCTTCTGGCCAGAGATTTCTATTTTTATAAAGCACAAAAAGAGGAGCCAAGAGCTTTACCACTTTCCTATATAAACCCAGCTGCCAAAATGAATGTGCCAAAGGGGAATTTCAGAAAATTTTAAAGAGATAACCTTTGCTGAGGCTGCAATGTCAACTTTGTAACCGCATGACTGGGACATGTGCAGTGAATGCTTGATTGAAAAGACTGTTCTCTTTGAGATAACTATGGGGTGGGGACAGGGTACAGAAAATAGGATTTACCAGAAGAGGACTAGAATTTTAAAAGAGTCAACAAAAAGACAAGCAACTGGTATCTTCCAATTTGGAAGGGGAGCCTTGTAGGGGAACAGGAGGAGCGAGACCATTCACTGCAGGCCACTTTCCACCCTGGGGATCGTATACTTGCATGATAAATGCATATAAATTACTCATTCGTGTGTAGGTTTTAAATACAGCCTTTGAAATTGTTTCTTCTTTTTTTTTCAAATGAAAGAATTGGGGGTGAGGTGAGATTATGCGGTTGCATTGTTACCACGAGTCAAAAGCCCACTCTCTGAGGGTGCAGGAGGGTGGGTGCTCCACAGCCTTCCTATATCCTTTTTCTCTTCTGGCCCTCCTCAAAATGATTTTTGTAACTAAGCTGATGAAAACAGAAGAAAATGCCAAGCCCATCAAAAATGAAAATTTCAAAAACTGCATTAATTTAAAGCATCATCCTTTAAAAAGATACAGTCTAAGTGTTCCATGAAGATACTTTTCAGGGAGAAAATGTACTCATTAATCTATCTACCCCTAAATTTAAATGATGTATATGGTGAAAAACATAGCAATGGAGAAAAGTAATAGCAATGGTAATCATGCAAGGGTCCAACTTCTCCACAGACTGTCCAAGACCCAACTTGGCTCTTAAATTTCTTCCTCTGAGACTTTGGGAATCGTGTCAACTGCAGAATCCATGAACAGACAGTCCCGTGGGAAGAGCCAGCATTGGTACGTTACTGGCACCCACTGCTCTCCCGAGAGGAGGCTGCACACTGACACAGACAGTGAAGAGGCTGGGGGTTTTGTCCCTATTACCTAGGACAGGACAGGCTTCAAATGAGCATGAGTCTTCTGTCGCCTTCCTGAGTTTCAGAATGTTCTCATAACAAATGAGGAGTGGGTTTATAAATAAATAAATCTTTCTACATTCGAAGATGCTGCTACCACCAGCCCACCATTTCACAAAGCAATGATTCCTCCCCTGAATTCCATGTACAAAGGTAGGGTCAGTGGAACACAAAAGCATTATCAGTGGTTCAAAAACTAACTCCTTGCAGCTTGTTCCCTGGATCATAGTTTGAGTTGGTGTAAAGGGAAGGGAAGAGGAGATGCTCAAAAATATATCCAGTACACAGTCCACATATTGCTGGATCAATGAGCTATTGTTTTAAATGAAAAAATATGTATCCATTCCCTTCCTCCTTGGAAGGCTCGGCACAGTTACACATTATTAAGAACTACTTTATCATACACTTCCGGAACTGGAAAAGACTTTGAATGGCCACTGGTTCAACTCTGTCCTTGTTACGGTCAAGGGCTAGGAAACCTGCATAATTTCACCCAGTAGTCACAAACGGAAGTGCTCACTCCACTCTCCCACGAGGCTCAGTCATTAAACGGAAGTGAAAGGTGGAGGAAGCGAACAGCCACTCAGACTGGGACAAGAGAGGCAAGGACACTTTGGAGGTCATGCTGTGTCCCAGGAGAGCAGTACGGGGTAAGGCATGGGGAGCCCAGAGGATACAAGAGAGCCAGCAGGGGTGGGAAAAGAAGCTGAATAGAGGAAGGAAGCCTGTAAATGAGAAATGCACACACATTTCTTTAAGTTTTAAAAACTAAAATTGTTAGCCAGGCATGGTGGCAGGTGCCTGGAATCCCAGCTACTCCAGAGGCTGAGGCAAGAGAATCACTTAAACCCAGGAGGCGGAGGTTGCAGTGAGCTGAGATCACACCATTGCACTCCAGCCTGGGCGACAAGAACAAAATTCAAAACAAACAAACAATAACAGCAACACTAAAATTGTAAAATCTGTGTAGTTGAGATTAATTTAGAAAGTATGGGTAGAATGTCCCTTATCTGAAATGCTTGGGATCAGAAGTGTCTTGGATTTCAAGCTTTTTCAAACTTTGAGATATCTGCATTACATAATTGCTGGTTGAGCATCCCTAACCCAAAAATCCAAAATCTTGGATGCTCCAATAAGCATCTCCTCTGAGCATCACATCAGTACTCAAAAAAAGTTTAGGATTTTGGCACATTTCTAATTTTGGATTTTCAGATGAGGGATACTCAACCTGTACAATATTAGGATACAAAATTTCTACCAACACAGACACTGTAAGTTCTAGGCACAAGTGGGAAGGGGAGGCTTCGTTGTGAGTCGTTTAGCACATAATCTTAACTTACATGATAAACTTGTGATACTGGGCAAGAAACAGGAACTCCATTTTAAAGTTGTGGCAATATGAAGAAGTGATGCTTTGGATAAAGTATCAAAGTACTTGAAATATCAACATATTTCAAAGTAAATGTTCATACAAAAAGAAAATAATTCAGTTATTTCCCTTGAGAAGAACAATCTGCAACTTTTAAAATTTCATCAGGTGGAACATGTACCAAGTAGACCCAAAAGATTGGTCAGAAAAAAATATAGGATGTTGACATTTTAAAATCAGTAACAGAAAGACACCCAAGGGCAGGCAGGGGAAAGGGAGGAGGACTTACTGAAGGTAGAATTTTCAGCAAAATAAATGTCTCACTTCTTTCCATTGCCTCCTCATTTTATATTTACAAATCATTAAAATTAGGCATTCTAAACTATACATTTTGAAACTCAATAAATAATCATAAAATGATACTTACCCACCTCAAACCAATACTTCAACATGGATGTATTCTGATTGTCCATTCTAAGCACCTCTGAAATTAAGTCAATAGACTTCAGTGAATGCATTTCACTGTTTTGGACATTAACTGGTACAAATACCTGTCTTAAGACAGAACCCTCCAAAATCCAGTGACATATAAGGATAACTGGGCTAAAATATTTTAGTTCTGAAATTAGATCATATTCCAATTTTACTTTATTTTAGCTATATTACCATTAGAAGGTAAAGCCAGGTTTCAAACAGTATCCTACAATGATTTTCACTTTAATAAATCCTTTAAATTTAAAAGATACACTGTATATGTCATAGGGAAACACGATTTCCAACTATTCATTTGACATATTTAGTTTCCTTTCAAAAATGTTTCTTACAAGAACAATGAAACTTTATCCCAGCAGCAACACTGTAGTCCGGAAGGACTTCCCCGAGCTCAAGACAAGGTATAAGGAACTGGGGGGAAATGATAATATTTTCTGACCAGGGCTACTACATTCAATAATCACTCACAATCATTTAAAACCTACAGCTATTTCTTACTGCCAGAAAAAAGAATTAGCAACACTAGTATCTGGGCATTCGGTGGTTCCTGAATCTCAGAACCTTTTTCCATTGCTCTTCACTCCCCAAACTAGTGGTAGCCTAATAATCCTAGAAACATGGCAGCCACCTCCTTAGCGGACTATGATTAGCCCACACACAGCATCCAGGAAAAACCAACTGCTGGAGTTTGGGCACTCCATCCTTACACCTCCTAATCCTCCCAGATGGAACGCCCATCTACAGAAGGCCCTCCAGGTGGCCACCTTACCCTTATCTGCTGGAGCTTTACTGGGAAGGCGCACTGCTTAGGAGGCAAAGACCTGCATGAAATAGAGAAGACCTGCCGTGCAACTGGCAAATCACTTAGCTATGGTTTCAGTTTTTCATCAGGTTGTCCTGAAAATAGACCATGTTCTAAATCTACTTTATCTGAACTACAAAAAAAAAAAAAATTCTTAAATTATCATTAGAAGGAAAAAGGGAGAGGGGAATCAAAGGAGCTTAAAAAATACTGAAAGTTAATTAGAGTAATGGCTGTCAAATGTTTTGACGCCAACTCGGAGGAAGAAACATATTTTATGTCAAAACCTTGAACACAGAGGACACTTGCTGTATGTGCTACATTTGTATCTTCTACTATTTACATCAAATTCCTTCCATTAAAAACATTTCTAGTTGCAGTCTAATACATTACTTTCTTGCTCCCATTAATGAGTCATAATCAGCAGTTTAGAAAACACTGCATTAGGGCACGATATTTTTTTTCCCAGAGAATCTCAAAGAAAACAGTTCCAAGTGATACTTTATCAGAATAAATGAGGGTCCCGCGATTCTGGCTCCTGAAATGCCTCTTCCCTGACCTACAGCTGTTGTTGATACAAAATGCCATTGCCAGAGAAAGAGAACTTACTGCTGGTCTGAGTAGGCTGAACTGCCAGGGCAGGTTAACAGGAAACACCTGCACAGGAGGAAGGCAAACACCAGCAGAACAGGTAACAGCTTACCTCCAGCACCTCCAGCACCTGCCACTCAGAGGAGCCGGCAACTCTCAGAAGAAGTCAAGAGTCAAAGCAAGGAAAGGTGAAGAGATGGGGCTGGAGTGAGACGAGGTGACAGTCCCGAGGTGAGGATCGGAGAGTGAGATCATGCTGTGGGGAGCGTGGGCCGAGTGCTGGGGCTGATGTGTGTCAGGCTCACGCTGGAGAGGAAAGCATGGAAGACATGGCGTTCAGAGGCAGCACGTCCAGAGGAGAAGGAAGTAAAGCTCAGAAAAGTAAAGAAAAGCAAGGAGAGGAAGGGCTATGACTTATTTTAACTTTCCACACAGATCCCCAAAGAAGAAAAGTAAATTGTCACGAAGACAAGGCAATCTATTTGTCCAGAGTGGAGGACCCCAACTGTGGGAGCTCTCAGATCACCAAGTCCCTGGAGTAACTTGGGAATCCCCCTAGCAATGAACTCTTTGCCAGGTTTATATGAATATTAGGCAAACAATAGCTCTGGGAGAAACAATTAGAAGAAATTATAACTACTACCCCAAATTTACAATAATGCTACCAAGAATAAAGACGGTTAACATATAATTGAGAATCTGCAAGCTGACGAGGAAGATTTGATGCAGGGAGAGAGCCCCGAAGTAAGATGCTGTCGGTATGGGGAGCCTAAAGGCGCCTCACAAACACTCCTTGACTATAACTCCCAGGGAGGCCAGAAGAAACCTAAGGCAGTTGCGTTAATTCAGGCTCTACCCTTAGAAAATGCAGAAATTAAGACAGCGAACTCTCCCTCTTTTCGGGTTCCCCGTGTAAGATTTTATCATAACCTTACTTTGTTCTCTATCCTGAGGCCTCAACATAAAAGCCCCTAGCCACAAAAATACAGTATAAAGCTAATCAGCTCTGTGTACTACAAAATGATTTACAAAATAACTACCGAACAGACCTCATTATAAAATGTTGTCACTGATATCACCTTCCCTCACCCAAAACTAGCACTCACGACAATAGCAAGACGTTATACAAAGCACTTTTAAACGTTTTAAACTATTTTCACACAGACGATCTCATTTACCTCCATAACAATCCTACGAAAAAGTATAGAATCAGTATCCTTTCACAGAAAAATGTCTAAGAGTATGTGGCCAGTGTGTGATGGGAACCGTGCTATATTTCTGGTCTCCTGATTGAAAGAGACCACAGCAATGAAAGAAAAAGGCAAGGCAAGGCACCCTTATAGTTGGTATCTGTAGCTACGCTTTGTTTTCCCAAATGGATTTCAAACACCTCTATATTTTCCATTATTCACATGTGTTGACTGATACTTTATTGTGCAATGATTAGGTGTCCACAGAATCATCCCAGGCCCTGTAGATGGTACAAATATGAATAAGACAGAATCTCTGAACAGAAACAGCCCCTAGCAGAAGAGAGGGAGCCCATGGGCAAACAGGGAGATTCTGAGTGGCATCAAAGAAGCACAGCAGAGAGGCAGGCTGGCCAACTCTGCCCGAGGAGCTGGGCGGAAATGGGTCCCAGAACATGGGAATTGCTGCTCCACCGGGACCAAGGCTGAGAGGGAGGACTCCCTTTCAACTAGCAGAGAAGAGAAACGAGAGTAAGATCTGTTGAACAGCTGCAACCCAGCTGGGGAAGAAAGGCACACACAAGTGAAAGAGGAATCATTCAGGACAGGATGAGCAGTGATGGGGCAGAATTTTATTAATTCCCAGGGCCATGCTAGGCATACAGCAGATGCTTAAAAAAATACTGGCTGTATGATTGCTTGACTCTGAAATAAATTAGTACATTTTATTTTAAAGCAGAAGTATGTATGTTACTACCCAAGTAAATGAGTTCTAGTTCTCAAATATCAACTGTGCATACTTAAGCATTAGGGCTTCCCCCAATGCTACACTAGCCTTCAGGATGCCTCCTCACATTAGTCAAGAACACATCTTCGCCTTATTAACCCAAATAAGCCATGGGGAGGAAGTTAAACTTGCCGCCACCCCAAATCGAATACTGTAGCCCCAAACCGTGAGGCAATTTTTAAGGAATATCTACCATTTGGAATTATTGCTATAACTACTTCCCCACAATGGGGACAGGAACACTGGAGATCCACCAGTATGTATCACTAAAGACTAAAATTCCAACCACAGGTGTTGAAAGTAGCCCAGTATTGAGGTATGGGAACCCGTGCAGTCCTCAGGCTCTGAGAAGGAATGATGCAAAACCGAAGACAATATGCCATTTGTGCAGACATTTAGAGAGAACCTAAAGGTATTACATGTGACACTATATATATACATAGATGTGTGCATACATTGTATACATACATATATTTTTAAAACAGTATAAGCAGGAGTCTATTTTCCAAAGCTTTGAAAACAAAAACTAGTAGAAATTATGCAATTTCTTCAAATACAACATGCCAGAATTTCAAATCTGGTACATCTAAAATTTCAAATACCATATACTAAACCCTATTTGGGTCCAGAAAAGCAACTTCTGGCTCTCCTAGTACCAAATTGTGACTGCCTGAGTGAGCCGTAATTAACAGAAATCAGCTTTCTCAGGTTCCAAGAGTGGCTCCCAGAGAGGCTGTTCCCAGCCATGCAGGCCCCACCCAGGGAGAAGGAGAAGACCTAACTTGAGCCAACTCACCTGGCAGGGCTCTCTCGAAACTCCTGCAGGCCCCAGGCAACACGCTGTCACTGTCAGTGCATTTTAAATACCCTTCTAACCTCTACTATCAAGCTAACAAGACCAGTACAGAATTCTAAACCCTTCTCTTTAGCCTTTTTCTCTACTTTACAGCCACAAAAGTGCTTATAAATTATGCTAGTCTGAGAACATGGATTACACAAGAAACACGAAAAAATGACTATGCAGTTTTCAATTTAAAATTTCTGTTCGCTATACAAAACTAACAAGGATTTTTAAAAATACTAAAAGCTTAATAACTAACATCCACCAAAAGCCATCAATGTGTGTTTTTCTTTTCTTTTCTTTTTTTTTTTTTTTTTTTTTTTTTGAGACAGAGTCTCGCTCCGTGGCCCAGGCTGGAGTGCAGTTGCACGATCTTGGCTCACTGAAACCTCCGCCTCCCGGGGTTCAACTGAAACTCTTGCCTCAGCCTCCCAAGTAGCTGGGATTACAGGCATGCGCCACCACGCCCAGCTAATCTTTGTATTTTTAGTAGAGACGGGGTTTCGCCATGTTGTCCAGGCTGTTCTCGAACTCCTTGACCTCAGCTAATCTGCCAGCCTCGGCCTCCCAAAGTGCTGGGATTACAGGCGTGAGCCACTGTGCCTGGCTGATGTGCATTTGTCTTATGCAAAACTTACACAATAAATCTAAATAACTGTTTCCTACTCTATAAAGAGCCTTAAGTTTGACACTTTAAACACTACATCATCTTATCTACTATCTTAGAAATGCCTTGTAGTAAGCTTTTGCCTCTAACACAATCATGAAACATTCTCGCTATTTTTCTTTCTCTCTCCTTTCACTACCAGCATTCCATTTTCTAGCTCCTCCCTTCTCTCTCTTATCACATCCTTCTTTTCCTTTGACCCGCTCTACTAAACGACTGGTCATTTGCTCACACTAAGATGTCTCCCTCTCCCAGAAATCTCTTTTTCCTCCCAGGCTTTTCATTGACATTGGCCTGCAGTCTCTTGCCACCTGGCCTCCACCTCACAACTCAAATATACCATCAGGGGGCATCTGGGCTCCCAGAAGCCCACAGCCCCTACTGGAACAGCCTTTGGAAATCTTCTAATGCTGGAAGGGTCCTTCTCCTCTGATCACTGTTTGCCATCTGCTGCTGCAGAAAGGGTTTGAGATTTTGTTGCAGTTTTTGCTTTGCTTTTCTCCCAATATCATGAATGAGTTGACTCTTAGCTTTCCTGCTGTATGTGAAAGATCACTAGTCTAAAACACAGGAAGGCTAAGCTTACACACACACATATGCGCACGCTGCACATATATACACATGTGTCATATGTTTATATCTTAACTCCCAGCAAGAGTTGACTTTACAAAAACAATGATATAAACCCTCTGCTTCCTGTAACAGAAAAGCTACCCGATACTTCTAAAATAAAATTCTTAAGGGTTTGCAGAAGTGTTTAGCATTATATGAAAAAGAATACCTCTTACAGTACTTGTTTTGAGGCACTTCATTCCCAAAACACATTTTCCATTGTTGTAATCTTTTAAAGTGCTCATCTATCTGGCTTCTACAGCAATTTGCGAGTGTGAAACAAATATGCAATTCACAGAGGGAAAAAAGGGCAAAGGCTTAATTTACGATACTCTCATTTGCCAGAGTGTAGAGCTGTGGGGCACAGCCACAAAAGTGATTGTAAATTCCACTGGTCTAATGAACAGATACAGTTTTCCTAATTTTTATTGCTGTACTCCACAGCTGAGTGATTGTCAGGCCAACGCCAAAGCACAGGTTCCATTTGAATGACATATGGCTTCAGTCAACCAGAGAGATGTTCAACATTAAACAACACAAGTAGACAGAACAAGAATACAAAATGCCAAATTAGCCCTCGCAGAACCAGATACCCTAGTACACATCTCAGTCCTTTGGAAGAGGCTCCGAGTGCGTGGGTATGATGCGAACACTCCTCCCTGGCCCCTTGCAGCAATGCACAGGGCACAGCCGGGATAGGCTGGTGCGGAGGAGAGCCTCCATGGGCACTGGAGTCAGAAGCTGTAGTTCCGCCCTCAACAGCTAACTGTCCTACCTACATCAGACTGCTTTACCTCTTTGTCCAGCAGTTTCCTTACCTCCTCCTTACAAAATGGCACTACAATACTTCCTCCACCTCACTCAATGAAATGCTGATGCAAAAACACTTCCTAAATGGTCAATCACGATGCAAACAAACCCATGATGATGACAATTCTCTTACCAACAAACACTTCCTAAAGCAAGCCCAGTGCAATTGCAAGCATTAAAGCAGCAATGTAGCGACCACCTGTCCAACCATTTGGCTGCCCAAGCTATGAACCCTCTTCTGGGATTTGGGTAACTCCTCACCTTATTATGAGCCTGATAGGAGGCAGACTCCACTTCCCAAAAGAGAGGCTGGAAAGGCCAAACACTTACTTGCTTTCCCAAACTAGAAACTAGAGTAACTGGAGTTACAGGCAGCTAGATTATTGACCCAGCCAATCAGATGCACATGCCCTGGTCTTTGACTCATTAGCCAGTAATACAAAGAAACAAGGAGAGGAGGAACTTCTCCTTGCAGTACACACAGCAATACCCAATTTCAGGTGTGTGCACATGTGTCTGCCACCAGGATGCCAGTGGGGCGATATGGAGGTACAAGTTGTGTCTGGCATGCTCAGGTCTTCTCTGTACTTGTGACCTGTTTTTGCAGCATCCTCATGGTGTGGTCTCCCTTGTTCCTGCCCTTCTGGCAATTCTGTGAGCTTCCCAACAGCCTGTCAATTCCTTTTCTGCTTGAATTGGCTAGACTCGGTCTTCATCGCTTACACCTAAGAATCCTCGCTGACACAAGGTAAAATGGTACCTTGAAATGGTAGCCAGATAAGTGGAGAAACTAAAGGAGAGCCTCAAAATGTGTGGCACCACAAAGCAAAAACAGAAGGCAGAACGTGACGCCCAGCTGGCAGAGGCATGAGGAAGGGCAACCGCCTGATCAAGTATGTAGAGTGAGAGAAGCCCTTCAAAAGATCTTACGTAACTAATCAAAAGTCAAGGATAAACATGGGCCAGACGCGGTGGTTCACGCCTGTAATCCCAACACTTTGGGAGGCTGAGGCAGGTGGATTACTTGTGGTCAGGAGTTCGAGACCAGCCTGGCCAACATGGCAAAACCGTGTCTCTACTAAAAATACAAAAAAAAAAATTAGCTAGGTATGGAGGCACACGCCTGTAGTCCCAGATACTCAGGAGGCTGGGGCACGAGAAGTGCTTGAACCCGAGCAGCAGAGGTTGCAGTGAGCCAAGATGGCACCACTGCACTTCAGCCTGGGTGACAGAGCGAGACTCTGTCTCACTTAAAAAAAAAAAAAAAGGATAAATATGGTTATGCAAGAAGGCCTACAGGTGGCATGGACCCAACTTTCAGAGGCCGGCAGCTCCAATGTGTTCCTTCTTTTAGCATTCATTGAGACCTTATGTGCCAGACTCTGAAAATACTCATGAGGGTCACAAGTTCAGCAGGGGACACATTCAATAGCTACAGGTAATTTTAATATAGGGAGACACGTTATTGAAGTAGACGTTGAATAAATGTAGGTGGAGCCAGCAGGCAAGGAAGAAGCACGGAGAAAGAGACACCTGAAGGAAACAGGAGAGGGGAAGGAGTGCGGGTCCACAGGCAACAGTACAGCACAGTGCAGAGTGAAACACAGCACCATGCAATCTCGAACTGCAAGCATCTCAGTAAAGTGGTGCTTAGATCCAGGCTGGAGAGCTGAGAGCAATAGGGGTGAACAGGAAGACAGGAGTCCAGAAGGGTCATGCCATCAGACTCACAAGTTTGGATTTTATTTCACAACAGATATTCACTAAAGAACTTTAAGCAGGAGAATAACATATCAGATTTTCATTTTATTTTAACAAGATTACTGTGAAAGCTCTTTGTGAAAGAATAAATAATAAGTGGTTGCTAAACATTCGGGATTCATAGAACCTTTGAGAGTATATTGGCCAGAAAAATGCATCTACACACATATATAGAAATCTTAATATTTAATTTCCGGGAGGCTGAGGCAGGAGAATCGCTTGAACCTGCGAGGCAGAGGTTGCAGTGAGCCGAGATCACGCCACTGCACTCCAGCCTGGCAACAAAGCAAGACTCCATCTCAAAAACAAACAAACAACAACAACAAAAAAAATTAATATTTAATTCCAAAGGATTCGCAGCATCCTGAGGTCCATCTGTGAACACTCAGGGGTCTGTGGACCTCAGAGTGAGAATGATCTGGAAGTAGGAGGGCGATAACTGGCAGATACACTGGTTGAGGGGCTAAAGCAACTGCCCACGCCAGTGACGGCAACAGCCTCAACTTGGGTAAAGGCTATGAAGACGGGGCACACAGAAAGTGTCTGGGACAGTCTTCAGGAATTAGTGATCAAGTGGAGGAGGGTAGTGAGGGAAAAACACCAAGGATAATAACTTCCCAGGCGGGCAACTTAAGAGATTGAGCAGTGCCATGTTTTTATGGGGGCAAACGGTGGACTGGGGAAAAGAAACACCATGAGTATACTCGGAACTGGGATGCTGGAGGCGCCCCCAGGTGGACATGCCCAGCCGGCATCAGCAGTGAGTCTCGGGCTGAGTGGGCCGTGGTCCAGGGTAGAGCCACTGGAACCAGGACGAGACAGCTGAGCCTACACAGATATCGAGGCCCAAGTCCACAAGGCAAACCCAGGACTCAACCTAAAATCCACAGGGCCGGATGGGTGAGGCTGAGGAAAGAGGCCCACAGTTCACTGAGAACACCACCACAATATCATCTTACAAACATTAATACAAACTTATTAATCTGTGCATGTGATTTATTCACACAGTCACATCAGTGCTATCTACTCCAAAATATAAAGCTTTGGCAAATTTCTTTAAATAATTCTGTTCAGTGCCTGGTAGGTACCACGGGAAAGTCAACACTATCATCCAGAGATACAACTCTAAATTTTTTCAGAGACCCAACTTCAAAAAGGACAGTGTATGCAGACAAATTTTAAAGATGCTTTAAAAATACCCATATAATTTGGAATATTCAACAGTACACTTCAGTAACACTAAAATCTGGAATGGAATTTGCAATTTCAGGAAAGCAGTTCTTTAACAGAAGTATTTAGCACGTTATATAAACATGTTATTCAAAGAAATGTACAACACAGGGGATTTTCATCACATTTACTACATTTGTTAGCCAAAACGTAGCCCTCTTGTAATCACCAAGAGAGTTGCAGTAAAACCTCTATAATATTAAACAACAGCACAACACGGCAGTAAGCCATCCTTTTATTAAGACAAAGAAAACATACTTAATACGCGCAGCTTTCTTTGCCACTTCTTTCCTGAGGAACTCATTTTAAACAGCAGCTCACTGAAAAGGCATGAACTGTTTAAATCTGAACAGAGACTCGCATCTTTATTTTGTGAGGAGAAGCTGGCAGGGAGAAAGACTGTGATAATTTTAAGGTTCTATCAGTCTCATGCTAAAATCTAGAGTGTGAAATAAAAATAATCAAAAACATTAATCCAGAATCGAATACAGCTGGTCAATGAAAACTTTCTCACCTCACCTGGCTTTTAACATTGACCATTACAAATGCAATTAATTTTGAATAAATGGCAAAGTGTTCCATACATTTTTAAGGAAGAAAATATAGATGTCACTAACTGGACTGGAAAATGGATGCAGATATGAAGAAAGCTTATGGTACTCAAATGAGTGATTTGTAAAGCTCTGAAAGTTGATCATGCAATGCACAACCACAACCATTTCCTATGAAGCTAAAGAATGACTTTCCTTCCATACACTGAGTTCCTGCTACACAACATATGGCAGTGTGATGGTGTAGTGCTCGTTTAGTGAAGGAATGCGGGAACAATGAATAAATGAATGGCCATCAGCCTCAAATATATATCTAGACACTACTCTTAATCTATATACTCAAATAGGCCATTTAGAGATGGTCTTTCAAAGAATACTGTAAAATTTAGCAAGTAAAAGTAGATCCTATATGTTAACTAAAGTCAAATATTTACCTGATCAGTTACTATGGGTGGGCTATTCCACTTTGTGCCACAGCGATAAAATCCAGATGTGGCTCCTGCTCTTAAGGGCCTTAAAGGAGCAAAGGACCCATATTCCAATTACCATAAGTCAAGATTCAATATGCCACGACCATAAAGAGATACGCTTAAGGCACTACGCACGTTCTGGAAATGGATTAAAGCTCCACGAAGGAGAATGGAATGGAGTTTTGAGGAGTAGCCAGGGTTGTACCAGACAGAGATACAGGGAAAGAGATCAGGACTTCCAAGTCACAAATAATGGCACCATGAAAATGTGGGACCTATTTAAGAAGGCGGGGTTTGTGTAAGAGGAATGAAGGACATAGTCAGAAAGGGACGGGCCTGGAGCCAGCACAGAGAGGACCCATGCAAAAGAGAGGCCACACTGAAAAGGGGACTGCAGATGCACCTGCTGATTTTTAGTTTGGGGGAAATGTGTAACAAACACCATGCATGCCAGGCCTTGAGCCTTGGTGTTGAACTCACTCTTACCAACTTCACTCTACAGGTGAGAGATTCCCACAGCATACAGCTGATAGTCAGTGAGAAGGGGAATCAGGAGAGTCAGGGCCCCTACTCCAGGATATTAAAACAAACTAAATGGCTGAGCGCAGTGGCTCACACCTGTAATCCCAGCACTTTGAGAGGCTGAAGTGGCTGGATAGCTTGAGCCTACCAGGAGTTTGACAGCAGCCTGGGTAACACAGGTAGATCCTGTCTCTACCAAAAATTTAAAAATTAGCCAGGTGTGGTGGCGCACATCTATTGTCCCAGCTACCTGAAAGGCTGAGGCAGGAATGAGCCCAGGAGGTTGAGGCTGCAGTGAGCCGTGAAACACTACACTCCAGCCTGGTGACAGAGTGAGACCCTGTTTAAACAAAATAAAACAAACAAACAAAAAACCTAAACATAAGAAATTAGTCAGTACAGGAAAAAAGGGCAAAATCCAATATGACTCTTTGGCACTGCCACCACAGGCCTGAGGATACTATGGTTCCATTAAGAGAAGATGTGGGCAAAGCAGATGGAGGAAGAGCTGTTTCTGAGGAGGCCGTGGGTATCTGAGAAATGCTTTGGCGGGTGCTGACAAGGCTGGCCCGCAGCTGAGAGACAGGTTGGGCTGGGGGCACAGATCCAGGAGAGAGCCTTCTAAAGGACGCCACTCATCAGACGCCTGAAGTTACCAATGCCTGAGACTGTCCACAGGTGGGGAAGACCGGGCCATCCTTCAGGAGACAAGAAGGCAAACCCACGTAAGTGAAGGAGAATCTGCAAAGCACACAGGTACTGCAGTAAAGCTCTGCTGCACAAGACTCCATTGCATTTGCTGAATAATTCACACTGTGTATCACAGCTCTGCACGCAGCCAACCATAGAAACACAACTGCATCAACGCAGATCATTTGTAGATTCCAGATCTTCAGTAATATTTATTCAGATTTCCACTTATCCTGTAAATCACCAGTTCTCTCCTTCAAAAATTGACCACTAATTTTTACAAAGTTTACAAAAATATTTGTGACTAAATATGCTTTAAGTTTAAAGTAATAAAAGACTAGTATTAGTTACCCTCTCCTCAAAGTATGATAAAAATTATTCACTTTGAACTTATGAAATGTCAGAATCTTCAGTTGAACACAATTATTGTGACAGAAAATTCTATCCAGTGGGCTAATCCAGAACTTTCCAATCATTAATCACATAATTACATAAACTAACCTGTGATTAATTTATGTAATTAAATATGATATGAAAATTTGTGCCCATTCCCCTTTTCTTCAACCCGTATTCTCTAAGAGCCTTCTGTTTATCTGTCAGGCATCATGCAAGGTGCCAGGAGCAGACATGAGAAGCCATGCACGGGGCTGCTGGCGTGCTTGTAGGCTGGAAGGGAAAGAAAGAAACATGAAATGGCCTGTTCAGGTGGTCACTGCCTCGCTGTCCGACAGTTCTGGTAAGAATGGCTGGCACAAGATGGAAGGAAGAGTAGAGGGGTCTTCAGCACACGGAGTAGCCTCAGAGCAGGAGGGGAGTGTCCAGCATAAAATACGGATGGGCCGATGGGCAGGGGTTCCAGGGGAAAAACAGCATGGAGGAAAACAAAGCACCAAGAAACAACCTATGTGGAAGGATGACCAATGACCACGCCAGCAGGCTCACGAACAACATCCACTCCACAGCGTGGGGGCAGCAGTTGGAAAAGGGTGCTGAAGAGACCTTGTTATTTCTCAGATACCTATTTCCCCTTTTTCTGGTCCCTGGAAGGCTCTGTCCTACTGAATAGAAATTATTAAAGAAAGCTTAGCAAGCCAATAAACCAAACAGACTGAAAACCGATGGGTTAGGCCAGGAGTGGTGGCTCGCACCTTGGGAGGTGGCTCAGCACTTTGGGAGGCTGAGGCGCGCGGATCACCTGAGGTCAGGAGTTCAACACCAGCCTGGCCAACATGACGAAACCCCATCTCTACTAAAAATACAAAATTAACTGGGCGTGGTGGTGCGCGCCTGTAATCCTAGCTACTCGACAGGCTGAGGCAGGAGAATCACTTGAACCTGGGAGACGGAGCTCGCAGTGAGCCAAGATCGCACCATTGCACTCCAGCCTGGGCAAAAACAGCAAAACTCCTTCTCAAAAAACAAACAAACAAAAACAATGGATTAAACTGACCAGGTATGATTCCAAAAACAGATGAAATGGAGGAAGGAGATTTATTGAGCACTAAGTGCCAGGTCCTAGGCAACCTGCTTTTACACATGAAATCTCATCGACTAATCCCAATTCTTGTTTAATAAAAAAGAAATTGTAGTTCAGACGATTTAAGTAACTTGCTCAGGATCACTCGCCTTGAGAAGCGGCTGTTGCTTAAATCCAGTCTATTTTATTTTATTCTACACAGACTCTATTCCAACTTCCCAACAATATGTCAGCGTACAATATCATATATGCACATATTCATTCATTAACTCATTTACTATTTTTTAAATCTAAGAACATGGAGAAAAACAGAAAGAGAAAAACAAGTCTTCAATTAAGTATACATAAGCCACCAGGAAAAAAGCACAATGTGGTTCCTCAAGAAGGAAAACCAGAAGTGAATGCTCTTGTAACTTACAATGAGCCCAGTCCCAGGAGGCCCTGGAAGGACCTGGTATCATCAAGCAGGACATGCACCTGCACAGGGATGGGCCCTCAGCCTCCCATCTAAGAAGCCCCTGTTCCTGCAGGAGGGGAACAACACAGATGTGCCAGCTGCCCCCACTGTCATATGCTGTCCCAAAGACTTGGAGCAAGTAAGAGCATGTAAGAAGATACTTGCCAACCAGAATGTTTCTTTCCATGTGGCATCTCCAGAGTCCTAAAAGTAGGATAAAACAGTAATTAGGAGCAACAGTGTTGGAGTCAGTCCAGGATTCCCATCTTGGCCCTGTGGCTTATTAATTAGGTGACCTTGAGCAACTTAATCACTCCAAGAAAACCTCAGGTCCCCATCTGTATCAGGCCTTCTCCACCACTCCCTATCAAATGTGCAAAAGGGTTATCCATGGGATCTGATTTCCACTCTGTCTAGCACCGTTTTTCAGACTGCCCATAGCATAAGTGAACAAGAACATTCCATGGGGTGCACTTAGCATTCCATGACTGCCTTCCATTTATTTGTCCATCACCTACTGGATGCCAGGCACTGTACTAGCTAGGAGGTGATAAATGTAAAAGATAAGTAAGCTACAGTATCCCTGCCCTCCAAAAATCTCACTTTTCTACACCACAGGCTGGCCTGTTGCTTCTATGGTATATGTAAGAAACCGTAGCAAGATAGGCTGTACAAGAAAGGAGAAACGATGACAGCAGTCTTAGTTTCAAACCTCCTCAGATTAATGACAAGGCAAAAAAAATCACTCAGATTCTAGTTACGGAACTTACTGACATAAATACTAATCTCTTTTAGGCATAATGCTAGGAAATCCAAACGTTCTAGATATTTGAAAATGATAAAAATCCCAAATACAAAACATGCACAGACTTTAGGAACATGGTTTGTTAGATGTTATTAGGACATTTTTGGATACAGAATCATTACTAAATATTACTGCAAAATAACAAAGAGGTTTGGTAAAATATTCTAGTTCTGAGTCTAGAGTCCAATGTCACACAGCTTTTTAAAAATGTAAACATATCTATAATGTGCAATACGACAGAATTAGCAACTCTTAGCTGGATATATGTGACTTTTTTTTTTTTTAACACTACCATTTTAAGCATTGCTTTTCAAGTACTTCTATTTTCACAGGAAATCCAGAATCCACATTTTCCCACCAGGTCTAAGTTACCACACAGACTCAGTATTTGACAAGACTTCATTCAAAGCAAGCTCTTCAATCCGCAGCTCCCAAGGCATAGGAAATCTTTTAAACTATAGATACAGAAAAGACAACGAAGGCAATTTAACCTAAATAATTTGTTCAATGGCAAATATATTTATTCCATGTTACCCTAAGCCCTGAAGTGAGACATTTTCAGGTCTCCCTGGCCTCTAGCACCAGGCTGGAAGCTTTGTGTTCAGGATCTGGTTATAAACAGCCAGCGGAACGTCTCCTGGAGCTCCCTGCTAGCATCCAGCCTCTCAACACCAGGATGGGCCTCAGACGGGGCCTGCTACCACAGTATGAACGCAATCTGACGACCGGGGGGAGGCAAAAGGATTTACTGAAGTTCCCTGTGGATCAGGAGGCGCTCTCCAGCTTCTCTGGTTGCCACCTCCACTAGCAAGGCCAGGTCATGAGTGGGCACTTCGGCCACCGGCTCTCCTACTTCTTCAAAGACTGTAATCCAGGGTGTTTCGGAGCTAGAACTGGAAGGAAGAGAGCAAGTCCTGAACAAACCGGACCATCGGAATGGCTACTCCCTGGCAAAGGCAGAGAACAGCCTCTCAACTGCTTGCCCTCCCCGCCCCCACCCTGCCCCAGCCACTGCTCCCTGGTGTGTAGGGAACTCACTCAGGGAGATCAGTAATGCCTCAATTATCAAATGCTCTCTCCTGCTACTATGAGGATTAGAACATTATTGGAAATGATATTTTAAATATTTTTAAAGACATATTTTCAACAGATGTCTGAAGTTGTTAAGTGTGATTTTACTACTTGCTCTCAGAACCGATTTTTCCCTACAGGAATGCTCACTCTTTTTTTTCCTTAAGAATCTCAATGGGCATATAAAATTTGATATGAAGAAATTCACTTTATAGCTCACTCTAGACAAATCCATCTCTTCACATATTTTCTGACATCCGTATTAATTCCTGTAGCTTCCACTTGCATGCCTGCAAGTCTACTAAAAGGGTGAAGAAAAGCATGATAAAATAAAGTCTTTCCATGTCCTCGCCCTTATAAAAAGTAGTTAATATAGGTCACTGAGACTTCCTGAAAACCCTATTTTCAGGCAAATCAAATATATGCAGACTAACAACTTATAAGCTCATTAATCTCAGTGTGAAATTTTGCTAATATTTATGAGGCAGATGTAGTCCCCAATGGTTACTTATAAATTATATAAAAATGTCTCTCATCCAAAAATTCACATGCAAATTTCAAATTCAAAAAACCATTCATTATTCGCTTTTATGGCCAGATGTTGAGGCAACAGAAGATGAATGAACTATACCAAAAAACACGATGACCTATGACAGAGAGACAAAAAAAATTTGTTAATCTCGTCTTCGAAAGAAGTGTCATTAGAAAAAACAGCTAAAAGTATTAAATCTGAAAATTTGGCCTCTTCTGACACACACTTGGTAACAGACTTCCAAATCTTTAAATTCCTTTGAAGAAATATACAGACAATGCACATACAATATAGCAATTAAAATGAAATCAAAAGTTTCAACTGATGACCAAGAAAATTTAACGCTTTAGAGGCAAAAAAAACAAATTCATTTTTTTTTAAATCAGAAATGTTTTACAAATCATCAAATGCCTCTTCCTTCACTCACTTAAAATTACATACCCAAATAAACCCTATTCGTACTTGGTCTGTCACTTCTTTTATATTGTAATGATCTTGCTGAATTCTTCTTTCACATTAGCAAAACAAAGTACCGTTAAGTGTTATTAAAAATTGACAAAAATTGTCTCTAAATCCTATTTCTAAAAAACATTTAAAACAGTTCTAAGTAGTTTCACAAGAATACCTATTGTTTTGTTTTGTATTGTCTTAAATCTGCTATGGTCTGAACATTTGTGTCCCTCCAAAATTCATATGTTGAAATCTAAACCCTCCAGGTGATGGCATTAAAAGGTGGGGCCTTCGGGAGGTGACTAGGTCATGAGGGCACAGCCCTCATGAATGGTACTGAAGCCCTTAGGAAGAACAGTCAGCTGGCCACCCCCTTCCACCATAGGAGGACACAGCCCAATGGCACAGTCCCGGAACCAGGAAACAGGCCCTCGCCAGACACTCAATCTGCCAAGCATCTTGATCCCAAACTTCCAGCCTCAAAAACTGTGAGAAATACATTTCTGCTTTTTATAAGCCACCCAGTTTATGGTATTTTTGTTATAGCAGCCTGAACAGACTAAGATAAACCCTTTCAGCATTTCTGTCTTCTAAAGCCATTTCTTTATCACAGGAGGTTTAAATCCTTAATATTTATCCTCATGTGATAACAATACAATAGAAGCACCCACATATATCAGTGATGACAACCAAGGAAACACCAATTCCTCAATTCTCTTTCCAGGGAGGAAGAAGAATGATTGAGCTTCTTTTATAATTCACACTTTACCTAAATAGTTCAACAAATACAAAATAAAGACCACGTGGAAAACTGATCCAAAATAATGAATCAGACGTTTGTGCACAGCTCGGTACTGAGGCAAGCATTCACCTGGCAGCCTGCTACAAGGCTTTCCTCATAGAAAGGTAGGATGGAAATGACCCATCCATCAATCCCCACTGTGAGGAAGAGCGCTAGGGACAGGAAGGCACTGGGACAGTTTGGAACTGCAGCAGCCATGCTCAATGACAAGGTGCATAACTGACGTGAATACAGCAACTCGTTTCGGACATTAAAATTATTTCTGAAACAAACATTTGCTTTCTCCACCTGCCTTTTTAAAGAAAGCTTATTTGATCGGTAGAGGAGCTGTATTTTGAACTCCAATGAACAGCCTGAGATTTAAAGGGCAGGGCATGTGAAGAGCAGCTTGAGATCTGTCGGACCACTTCTAAGGTAAAATGACATTTTTTAAAAGTCACACCAGAAGTATATTCTCTGTCTTATTCTTAACCTGAAAAGCAGGCCTAAAGGAAACCAAAAGTATCTTCAAAGTTATTTTAAAACTTCAAAATAGTACATTCACATACCGTTCAAATGTAACCAAATGAAAAAAAAAATTAATCAGGTGGTATTCCTAATAATGACACCACCCAGATACTTTTAAAAACATTCAAATAAAGGATCAAATATCCCAATAAAATACAATCACTAGGTCAGCTTTCCACAGGAAACAGTGTACTTATCATGCCTCTCACATTATTTGTGGGAGGAAACATCCCTTTCTCCCAGCTCAGTTTATGCCCAAGGAAATGGATTCCGGCACTCAGCCTGGCTCTTCCTATGTCCTCAGCAGTGAGGGTTCTTATTGCTGCCATCCACACAGCTCTGGCCAGGGCTCCCAGCACAGGACTGCCGCCAGTACCTAACTGCCTATGGTGTTTGCACCATCTTTTCCATGGAGGAGCCTCAAGCCACTTTAAAACTTTGATTTTAACATCCAGCAATATGATTTTCTTTGCTACCCTTTAGTAGGTCCAGATATGTCATGTGTACACCTCTTGTTGGTTGTCAAAGATGAAAACCGTCTGTCAGAGTATGCAATGGATGGCTGAAAGACAGGTCACAGAAGACTCCAAGGAAAATACACAAATAGCATTATAATAAGCCAGCACTGTGCCAGGCCATGTTAAAGGGAGCTATTCATGTACAGGGAAAAACTGTGGTCACAAGTAACTTTCCTATGTCTGTACAGAAAATAAAATGCACTAAATCACACTTAAACGAAGTAACTTCCATGATGCTTGCAAAATCAACTGAGTTTTTCAACGTTTCCAAGTAGTATAAACCATTCAAAAGAACTCGTGTAGACAGTTCTTGTAGCTGTTAATTACATTTTAATGTCTGTGACAATTCTGTTTATGTATTAGACAGACAGTAACCCACAGCCATGAACATATTAACATAAATTACAAAGGTATTTATAAAGTAGCACACAACAGCAGTCAGACCCACAAATGTAAACGAAACCAAACTGTTTTCATTTTATGACTCACATATTTTTAACCTAAAGAGACTCTGGATAAAGACAGCAGATTCAGCACTCACATCTAGTAATAAAAATGGCAGTACTGTTTGCTTTTTGCTTGCCTGCTTTTTGTTTATTTTTATAAAACAAACCCACAAGAAGAGGAACAAAAACAGCCAAAAATTTTGGAAGCTAGAAACAGATGGACAAATAGTAACTAACTTACCCAACCTGGAAAGGTTAAGTCCGACACCCAGCTGACAAGGCAGAACCATCCAAAGGCTCGGCGATTGGTGGCAGCAGACACCTCCGAGTATAGTGTGGCGGTAGATGGGGTGACTAAGAAGCACTCACTCTCCCACTAAGCACAGCTCCTCCTTCACCCTGGCAGATGCCCAGAGATTTCCTCCTCGTAGAAGAGCAAAAGAGGGGCTCCTCAGAACCACTGCTGCAGAAGTACCACAGCAGTATCCACAGAATCCCCCAGCACAATCAACCTTGCCAACAGACCTCTTTCTGTGGTAAACCTGAGGCTGGACCAATAAGAAAGGTCTAAATACAGCCAGGATGGGAGTGGGAATGTCCCAGATTTCCCTAAGGAGCCCACCAAGGTCCCCACAGTAGTTCTTATGATGAACAACTGGCCAGGCAACCAATAATTACTTGGGGAAAGACTTTAACATAAAAATAGGGACCAAAACAAACAGAAAAGGGCAAGTTAGACGACAAGGAAACTATGCAAAACAGAGTACAATCAGTATCTCAAAGAGGTAAGAAAAAATAATCTACCCTCAAATAAGAACAGGAGTCTTTTACAACAAAACAAAAAAGAATTAAGAAAAGGAAAAAGGAGGAAGGTGGAGGGAAGGAGGGAAGGAGGGAAGCAGTCTTAGAGGAACAGAAAGAGCTCCTGGAAATTAGAAATATAATTGAAATGAAAAACTTTTCTAGAAAATGGAACAAAAAGGAAAAGACATGAAAAATAGAAGAAGAGATAAAGTTAAAAGTCTAGTATGAGATGATGAGTTCTAGAAAGAGAGAAGAGTAAAAATGAAGGAGAACAGGGAGATAAAAAAAACTTAAGAGCTTTTCCATAATTGAGCCAGAGTACGTGGGGAAATGAACTAAAATGGACTGAGACAAAACTAAAGACCAAAAGAAGGTCCTACAACATTAGGGGCTGAGGGAAGAGAGTCACATGCAAAGGATTAGGAAACAAGAAGCAAGAATGGCTTCAAACTTCACAACAGCAAGACTGGTGGTTAAGACAGTTGAGCAAGTGCTTCAGAATTGTGAAGGAAAGTGATTTCCAGAATTCCATTCTCAATCTATAAGTCATGCATGAGGGTAAAATGTCTTTTATTTTAAAGACATTTTCAGACATGTGAGATCTTAAAAATTTGGTCTCTTGAACCATTCTTAAGAAAGCTACTGAAGGATTGGCTCCACCAAAACAAGAAAGACACAGAATCCAGGAAACCAAAGATCCAACACAAGAAAGTGAAGGGAAACTCCAAGTAAAGGAAAATCCCAGGGTAATAGTTGAACATCAGCAGAAAGTGAATCCAGAGAGACTGGAGCAAGCCAGAAATCTCTAGGATAGGAAGTCCTCTAGAAGATAAAACTGATGACATAACTGATGGATCTAAACATCTTACAAGGAGAGACAGACAGTTATAACCGATTGAGATTCTAAAGGGGAGTGCATGGTAAGTTTATATAGAAAATTTAAAAAAAATTATTTACGAAAAACAAAGAGCTGTGTAGAAAAGGAAAACAACAGTTTATGACATGGCTCATTTCTGAATAGTGTTTCCCCACCCTTCATAATGTAAATACCAGACTGATCAAACCACAATTCCGGCAAGTCTACACTAGGAGGATGAGAGAGGATAAAGGGTCATGCTTGTGGTGAGGGCCAAGTGAGAAGGGAGTACTAAATCATCATCTTCCAGCGGGGACAGCAACAGACAAAGCCTAAAACTTCAAGGAGCAATGTAAGAATGTGATTCTAGACATGAAGGTATCCTCAAAGAGCAGCTACAAGGGTTGAAAGTGGACGCCTCTGGGGACGTGGGCATGGGCTAAGGCGGGCAGTACCTACTGTTACTGACAGCACAGCTTACACAAGCATGGACTCTGTAAACCATTTACACATATAACCTTGATACAAATAACAACTTTTTAAAAACTAGGCTAAAAGAAAAGATTACAGATAGCTAGTGGAAAGTAAAATATCATAAGCCAAAAACAATTTTAAAGCCATCCTATATATTACCATTACTTAGAATCAAGCCAAGAGCCCAGGGGAGACATGGAAGGTATACTCACTGCCCGAAGCACACCTCTGAAAGACAAGATAACAATTTGTCAGAGAGCATCCTCTCCTTATCCCACTCAGAGGGCTGCAAGATTATTAATCTTCAGAATACAAAGAAGTGGAAAACTACAATTCCCAGTATACCCTGCAGTCCATTCAATTACTTTAAGTACATAAGGCTTTGCTATGAGGGAGAAGATTAGTTTTAAGAAAATATAAAACTAGTTCTCACAAGTCATTTCCAGTCTACTGTGTTCTACAGACATAATTTTTCCATTTTCTACTTGAAGAAAAAAAAGGATACAAAACAAATCATCTGTTATAGGTTGAAAATTATTGTTTAGTTATTTCAAAGAACAATTTTGAGATGATGGTATTGCAAGTCTGGAAACGGAATGTTCGAACTAGTGAGGCCCAAGAAGTAACGGAATCTCTCCTTCCCTCTCCACACTCCACACATCCAATTTTGCACATGGATTTTGCCAAGGACTCAAAGAGGCCCAGCACCCATCCAAAATGCCCAGAAGCTGTGTGCAGCATCATACAGGGAAGAATTCATCTTTCATCCAACCAACAGCTGAAAAACACAGTTTTGGCAATTGCTCAATTAATCAAGACACAGAACTGGAGTATTCACTAACCTGGGTTCCACTTCCTATTTCATACTTTTGGAAAGTCAGCATTTTAATTTCTTCAGGTTCCCCATCTATAAAATAGAGATACAACTCTCCTGTGTTTCACAGGAGAGTTTGATATATATGTTGTTTTAAGATTCTTAAAGGAAAAAAGAAATACAAACTACTCTCTACTTTCCTCAAGTATCCACAACCAATACAATCATTTCAAAATCAGTATATCCAAAACCAAACTTATCATCATCATCTTTAAAACTGGCCTCTTTTTCTATGCTCAGGCTCTTGGCTGAGAGATCCATATTCTTCTCTTCCATCCAACCTTGAGAATCCAGAGTCATCCAAGTCTCCTGCTCACCCATCCCACACCTTCTTGCCCTAATGCAATCAACTTCCCTGTCCTGCCTCGTTAGTCCTCTAAATAGATTTAAAGCCACCCCTTTCCTTCTCATCTCTATTACCCACCACTATACTAATCTGCTGAGGTCCCATCTTATTCTGGTCTTTGTGTGCCTAGACTCAGAACAGGTGGTTTCCAGGTTCCTTCCCTTTAAATCCTTCTTATCCCCACAAGCAGCAGGTTAAAAAGTGACCTAACATGCTAATTTCAGGCATTCTTAGAAGTGGAGAGGAAGTACAGGGTCAAGTCAAACTTCCCAACTTAATCTTCACATCCTCCATGACCCGGCACTGTCTCCAGGATCATCTCACGTGCAACTAAGGCGCAGGCCCATATTCCGTCAAGGCACTGACGCCACCCTCCACCTCCTCTGCTGTTCTTTCTACCCACCTGCCTTTTGTTTTTAAATGACTGTTATTCATCTTATGAAACTCAGCTCATCATCTGTTCTGTCATTCACTATTTCCCTGTCTCTTCATGAGCAGGAAGAGTGATCTAGACATGACTTTCCGCTGCCAGGGCCCAGCCCCCAAGCGGGCACAGGGTAGGCCTTCATTAACAGAGAAGCACTCCTGGCTCCCACACAACAAGACATGCAGTCCCAAAGAGCCGTCCACATCTACCGCCTCCTCCTTTCCTCATTCACTCCTTACACCACTCCGCTTTGCCTTGTACCATCAATCACTGCAGGAAGGCTCTCTGGCCATTTCTTAATCCTTATTTCTCCCTGACCTTCTGTAGTGCATGGCGGTGCTGGCCACTGCATCCTCCTTTGGAATGGCCCACATCCATCCATTTTATGACAGAGCTCTTTTCTGGTTTTTTTCTCTTACTGTTCTGCCTTCGTCTTACTTTCTCACTGTGCCCTCTTTCGCCATATACCCCCCTTAAGTGTTGGGGTGCCAAGGTGTGCTCAGCCCTCTCCTTGAACAACACTCATCCCTTCCTGTGGCTTCCACTGTAGGCCTACAATTGTGATTCTCAGCCCTGCTTACACAGGGCCAAGGGCCCGCGCCAGGCCAACTGTAGTAAAATCTGAGGATGGGGCACACCACGGCTATTTGTTAAGGCTCCCCAACCAATTCCAATGGAAAGCCCAGAACAGAACCACTGAGCCACACAGTAACTGTAGACCCAAACCTCAAATGTCTCTCTTCACCATCCACAACTCCCCTGACCCATATTTCCAGCTGTCCACTGAACATTTCTGTTTCCTCAAGACACCTACCATAAATCAAATTATGTTCAAAAGCAACGTCACTGTCTTCCCTTAGACCTGTTCCTCCTGGATTCCTTGAACTCTATACTGACACCTACTTGGATGCCCACGCTGCACACTGGAAAATCATCTCAGAAACCCTCCTTTGCCTGACTTCAAACTCACAAATGCCCTTTGGGTCAGTCCTACCTCCCTTTTGGCCCCACTGCTTCTGCACATCTCAAGGTCTACAGGGTCACTCCCTTGTCACTCACCTTCCTTTCAGGCTCCCTGTCTAGCCCACTTTCCATACCACCAGCAATGAGCCTTCTAGAGTACAGACTTCATAGCTGCCTCCTTATTAAAGCTTTGTAAGCAAAGAGAAAGGGCTCCCATTTCAGCATGATAAAGTTCAGGTTCCGTGGGAAGGTGTATAAGACCATTCACATTCACAACCTGTCTCTGGTCTGGTTTCTTATTTATTTATTAATTTTTTATTTTTTTATTTTTTGAGACAGGGTCTCACTCTGAAACCCAGGCTTGAGTGCAGTAGTACAATCACAGCTCACTGCAACCTCCGCCTCCAGGGTTCAGGCAATCCTCCTACCTCAGCCTCCCGAGTAGCTGAGACCACAGGCTAGCACCACCATGCCTGGCTAATTTTTTTGTATTTTTTGTAGAGACAGGGTTTTGCCATGTTGCCCAGGCTGCTCTCGAATTCCTCGAAATCCTGTGTCCAGCAATTCACCGGCATCAGCCTCCCAAAGTGCTAGGATTAGAGGCATGAACCACCACGCCTGGCCTGGTCTAGTTTCTTAACCCAGACTTCTATCACATTCTCCAGGTTACTCTTCGTCAGCACACCATGCCAGTCTAGGATTATAAAGCAATGGATAAACTGTTTCCCCTGTCAAGAACATGCCTGTCCCCCCTCCCCACCACCAAACACACAGAGTCCTGTTGTTCCTTCACTGGCACCTTCAAATGTCACCTATCCTTCCTGCAAAGGCTCCTCTGTCTACCTTTCATACAACCAGTACCTCTCCGTCTCGGCTCTACTAACGACCACAGTGTACAAGGTGGCTGACAGACCTACTACGTGGCTCTGCTATTGTTCTCTGAGGGCCTGGAATGTGTATCTTTTTCCAAACCAAGTTTTTGTGTCATTAGAGAAATTCTAAAATGTTGGTTGCACAAAAAAGCAAGTAACTCTGGCACAAACAGAGTGCTTAAATAGACCAAAGGCTTTTTCTAAAGAGATCCAGATTTTCTCAAGCTAGAAAAGAAGTAGAGGGGGAAAAAAAAGAATTTCTGTTTTAAGTTCTATGTCCTAATTATGAAAAGTATAAAACGCTGTTCCTCAAAAATCTATTATTAACATCTTAATGAAATAATCTTTTGTGGGTATACTAAAGATTCCATTACATGCAAGTTAGAACCATCATTTTGCCAACTGAAGACTGAAATCCTTTTCTTCTCCTACAATCACCTCCAAGTAAATGAAAGAGTCAGCTATTGTCTCCAGCTTGGTATGGATGTTAGATAATTAACTCGCAGAAAGATCAAAATTTACAGTTCTAGAGTATAGTAATATTCTTATTTTATCTTACTACCTTTTCAATGGCATAAATCCCACGATTTAATGGTCTTCTTGTTCCTGACTATTAGAAATTATTGCCAGTTTACACTAACAGGCTTCTGTCCTGTTTCATTTTCAAATCCTATTGTGGCCATTCATTCCAATCAAAACCAAAATAGATCAATTTTTAAGAAAAAAAAAAAGAAGACACTGAAAAAATAAGTTATGTGAACAATTCAAAATCCTTCCTCTATATTATCTATAATAAATTCTGAACATCAAATAAAATTGTAAAGCACTATTATATCATCAACTCTGTGCTATACTGACTTCAAAAAGTAAAATCTAAGCATACGGCATTAAAAATTTGTAAGCATATTCTGCAAAATTTAAAGCATATTCTGCAAAGGGAGATATATGCATAAGTATAGGTGCTTTTGTTCATATTCATGTCATTTATGCAATGGACTTATCCACTAACAAACTGACTGAGCAGGAAGATTCCATTCTGAACACTTTCATGGTTTATCAGATTCTCAAATCTGCCTCAGTACTGTGACCCAACTCTCTTAAAATTAATCTCTCTCTCTCTCTCAAAATAAGGACAAGACCAAATGGTTGAAACAACTCCTGCTGCATACAATTATGTAACTAGACAAGAAGGGTGTGAAAGTCTGAATGAAAACATTAGAAGTGACAGCTTTTCACCTTAGTCTTTCTGTGCCCTCTCCAAACTGCAGGGAGCAGATGGTGATTTTCAAGCACATTTAGACCAGGCTTGGAAGGACAACTCAGTGGTAAAGAAATAACTGCACATGCAAAAAACCATGTTTTGCAACCTACGGCTTTTAATCTAGAAAAGCTTTAATACCAGTTAACACAGAGAAAGAAGCTGCCATAAGCATTGCTCTGTATAAAAGGCTGGTGTATAAATTATAAAATAATTCAACTTTAAGTTTCCTTTACACAGGTGCACTACAGCACACCTGTAAACACTAGAATTTTTTTTTTTAAAGAACTAAAATCTAAACATCAAGTAAGGCACCAAACAAAAAATGCCAACTCTTAAGGGAAGGCGAACTCTCCCTGCTCTCCATTCCTTTATGGCCAAAACTCAGGCGATGGGCAGCCATCCTAATGGCACTGGCACCAGTAGTGTAAGGGATGACAGAAAAGGAATCATCAGACAATTCTGATTCATTTACAGTCATGTACCACATAACAGTGTTTCGGTCTATGATGGACCACATATACAACGGTGGTCCCATACACGTGGTGGCGGGCACCTGTAGCCCCAGCTACTTGGGAGGCTGAGGCAGGAAAATGGCGTGAACCCGGGAGGCGGAGGTTGCAGTGAGCTGAAATTGCGGCCACTGCACTCCAGCCTGGGCGACAGGCAAGACTCTGTCTCAAAAAATAAAAAAGAGTGGTCCCATACAATTACTGAAAAATTCCTATCAAACAGTGACATGGTAATCACCATCATATTGTAGCATAATCATTTAAAAAATTAATCTAGTGTACCCTAAGTGTATAGGGTTGATAATGTCTACAGTAGTGTACAGTAATGCCCTAGGCCTTCACATTCACCCTCTACTCACTCACTGACTCGCTCAGTGCAACTTCCAGTCCTGCAAGCTCCATGCACAGTTAAGTGCCCTACACAGGTGAACCATTTTTACGGTTTTTTTAACTTTTAATTATTATGAATCCGTAACAGTTGTACATATTCATGGGGTATGTGTGGTTTGTTTTTTGTTTTTGTTTTTGTTTTGAGACAGAGTCTTACTGTGTTACCCAGGCTGGAGTGCAATGGTGGGATCTTGGCTCACTCCAGCCACCACCTTCTGGGTCCAAGCGATTCTCCTGCCTCAGCCTCCTGAGTAGCTGGAACTACAGGCACACGCCACCACACCTGGCTAATTTTTGTATACTTTTTAGTAGAGGCAGGGTTTCACCATGTTGGCCAGGATCGTCTTGAACTCCTGACCTCAAGTGATCTGACCACCGTGGCCTCCCAAAGTGCTAGAATTACAGGTGTGAGCTGCCGAGCCCAGCCTCTTGTGATCTTTTGATACAAGCATACAATGTGTAATCATCAAATCAGGGTAATTAATATATCCATCACCTCAAACATTTGTCATTTCTTTGTGTTAGGAACATTCCAGTTCCAATCTTTCAGTGATTTTGAAATTACATTATTGTTAACTATAGTTGCCCTACTGTGCTATCAAACACTACATCTTATTCCTTCTAACAGTATACTTGTACCTATTAACCATCCCCTCTTTATCCCCCCTCCCATCTCTCCACTACACTTTCCAGCCTCTGTTAATCATCATTCTATCCAGCTCCATGAGTTCACTTTTTTTTTTTAGCTCCCATCTATGAGGGAGAACATGCATTATTTGTCTCTCTGTGCCTGACTTATTACACGTAACATAATGTCCTCCAGTTTCATCCACGTTGTTCGAAATGACAGGATTTCATTCTCTACTATGGCTGAATAACATTCTACTGTCTGTGTACCACATTTTCTTTATCCATTCATCCCACTGATGGACACCTAAGTTGTATTTTTACTGTATCTTTTCTATGTTTCAATATGTTGACGCACAAACACTTGCCACTGTGTTCCAGTTGCCTAGAGTATTCAATACAGTCACATGCAGCACAGGTTTGCAGCCTAGGAGCATCAGGCTCTGTTATATAGCCTAGGTGTGCAGCAGGCTATACCATCTAGGTTTGTGTGAGTACACTCTATGGTGTTCACACAATGACTACACTGTCTGATGACACATTTCTCGGAACATATCTCTGTTGTTAAGCAACATGACTGTATATTTCCAATGCAAAACTGACTACTATACCAGTTAGGAACAGAACACTATTTGCCTCTTTGTTTCCTTAAGCCAAACTGAAACAAAAAATCAAAGTAGTTCCAGAGTAGGTGGCCAGCACCTTGGTCATGGCTCTTCAGCCCCCTTCCTAGCTCAACAACACCCTGAGTTTCCAATTCAAATAGAAGCTTCAGAACAAAGCCCTCCTTCACACTTGAGCAAGAGGGCTTCTTGAAACCCCATACTAGAAGTTAGCCCCCAGGCCAAGTACACACCAGGGCCTCTGCTTCTAACAGCCACCTGTCCTTGCATTCTCAGTGGGTATGCCTGGCACCTCAGCTTCCCAGGGGCTCTGTACAGCCTCCACAAAGCAGGGGACCAGGGCACTGACACTCTCTTGAAATTGCGGGTGACAGAATCAAAGAATATTGTTTTGTTATCAGAAAACCAAAGTTCAGCTTTTGACACTTCAAAACTGTGTAACTTTAGGAATGTCACTTAACCTAAGCCTCAATTTCCTCGTCTGGAAAATGGTAATACTTTTGGTGTCATTTAAGAGAACTATTATGAGGTTCAAAGGAGATTACTGATGTAAAAGCACCCAGTAAACAGACAAATCTTACTACACTGATGTTCTAGTTGTGGTTAACAGTTCAAGCAAACATGTAAATTTTCCTGAATCCCAGCTCCTCCATGCGGCTCCCATAAATCCAACTGCAAGCCCTTCTGGACCCTTCCAGCCTTGGGGTGAATGAGTGAGGTCAGATAGCCCATCCTACCCTTAGATTGCCAGCACGTCAAGCTCCCAACGGTCCAGTTTAGATATGTATTACTTTTCTAGTTTTTCCCCCAAATTTCTTCCCCTTATATTTTGTCACAGTTTCAACAAAATATGACTGAATGGGTTTTTCAGCATTGAGATTTACTAGGCTTAAGCATTTTAGAAAGCCAACATCAGTTTGTGTGTGTGTGTGTGTGTGTGTGTGTGTGTGTGTGTGTGTGAGAGAGAGAGAGAGAGAGAGAGAGAGAGGATATGCATGCCCACACACACAGGATGTATTAAATGGGCTCTGCCATATACAGACACACACATGTGGATACACAAGTGTTTTTATAATAAGACACAGTGCTTGATGCAGGGAGGCAGCATGGAGCAGTGGTTAAGGTCAGAGTCTGGATGCAACCCCGGCTTCTCCACTAGAAATACTTGGGGAAGTTACTTAATCTCTCCATGCCTTAGTTTTATCATCTGTAAAATGAGTTAATAGGACATACATCTTAGAATTCCTAAGAAGTTGATGAGTTAATGTACATAAAATGCCAAAAACCAGCACATGGCACACAGTGGGAGGTTTTAAGTGTTTATGTTGTTATCATTCAATGCATCCTGAAAAGCATAGGCTATATGGTCACCACATACACACACACATACATGGTTCTAGGCATTGGTATAGTGGAACGTATTTGCTGAAACATACACACATCTTTCCACATGGCACCTGCAGTAAGTTCGCTCCAGTTAACGTTAGGCAACCTACATCAGTTTATGTTGTTTACCTCACTCCAGGCACTGCTCTAAGACCTCAATATCTAGGAACACATGTTGTCCTCATAACAACCCTACAAAGAAGCAGGGGTCCAGAAAGTCTCCAGAGCCTGCTGTCTTCCCTCCATCTACAACCAGTCCACACGAAGAGTTATAATTATAATACGTGAAAATTGTAGGCTACATAACCACATTTTTCCTGAAAATTTTGATAACAGAGAACAAACCACTATAATCTTTATTCTCATACTGGTATTTCAACAATTGTCTTTTTCATAAAAGTATGATAGCATCCCTGAGGATCCTCTAAGAGTAGCCATCTGGTTCCTAGATTCCAGAGCTAATTTCTCCAATGTAAATCACTGAATTCCATATTCCCATCTCTAGTTGTGGCATTTAAAAAGATACTCACATGCACGCACACTCACACACACAAAGACAGAGAAACACACACACAATTTAGGGCTCCATTCAAAATGATGAACTGCTTTGATGAACTTAAGGTTTCATTATTTTAACCAGTTTTCATATAGCTAACTTATTGTTTAGCTTGTTAGTATTTCATCTTAATATAATTATAAAATGATTATTTTACAAACTTTATCAGAAACACTGACTGAAATATGTGATATTTTGTCAGAAAAGAAACTGAAAATAAAGGTAAGCGTGTAGTCTGCCGCCACGTGAAACACACAAAGTGGACGGGCCTGCAGTGTTTTGTGGGTCAGCATCCCACGCGTCTGTGTTAGCACACGCCTTCCTCAGACACACCGGAACCCTGTGCAGAAGGTACACTTGCACACAATATTTTTGTAGCTGAAGTCTACTCTCAGTGTAAATTCTGACTAATTCCCAAACTTTCGAAAATCAAAAAACAATGTGCTCGCTAATGGGCTTTAAATGTATAATATCATCCATACGCCTTAAAAATCTATTACTAATTCTTAAGAATAACTTAGATAATAGTATTACAAACTTGCTCTTCCAAAAGTGGACATCATTCCCCATCTCTCTGACCTATGTTCATTCATCTCTTCGTGTTAACTTAGACACTAGTGACATTATTACAATTTGAATTTTATGCTTCATGAAATGCCTTCTATGATATATGATAAGCACCCATCCCAACCCCAACTGCCCCGAACTCATAGTTTATCACAAAAGCCTTATCAAACAGCCCAAGTGGACAAAAACTGCCTAGTAATTGACTGGAAGTAAACAGGCCAGAACAATCAACAGAGGCCCATGTTACAACTTAACACATTTTGTTCATTTATTCTTATGATCATATTTTTGTTTTAATTATTTATGGTAATTACAGCAGTTAATGTGCTGTAACATTTTTGCAAAAGAAATGAACTCTCAATAAAACCTTCCTAAATCTTTCACTGTTTCATCTGTGCCCTATATATTCAAACACAACAAGCAAATAGCACAGTGTTAGCTGGTATCTAGAGGTGGACACAATTCCGCGTGGCAGGATGGCCGGGATGGGTGCGGGGGCACACCGCGACGGTTTACAGCAGCAGGCTGTAAGCACTGTGGAACAGGCCACACTTCCTCAGTCCTGAGACAATTTTGTCAATTTTGAAAGCTGACCCAACATGTTCCCTGGGTCTAGAGAGGCTATTTAATAAGCTTAACATCCCAGAGCCTGGAGGAACCAAGCAGACACCTGAATCTTCCGTGCTCTGCTCCAGGACAAGCCCCTACCCCTGCTTCACAGCCCCAAAGGGCTTCCTGAACTGCCTCAGGTTATGGGTCATAAGAAACCTTAATTTTCTGAATTCCACAGAAAGTCCCCAAGTACAAGTCAATAATCACTCAAAACCAAGGAAAACAGCCTTTCAAGCTCATTCCAGCTCACCCTGGCAATTCCGTTCGTTCCTTAGTGCCCCCTGCCAGAAAAACAGAAAGAGGAGGGGGTAGGAACAGGTACTAGTAGCTAGCTTTGGTTGATAAAAGGAAATTGTTAATGTCACAATTCACAACTCCCTGAAGAACGACATGTTTTATGAAAACATTCATAACGTTCTCACCAAAAAAAGTTTGTTTTTTAGTGAGTGAAAACATTAAATTATTTACAAGTATCACCTCATTTAACCTCACAAAAATTTATGGAGGGCTGGGCACAGTGTGGCTCATACCTGTAATCCCAGCACTGTGAGAAGCCAAAGTGGGGGATCACTGGAGCCCAGGAGTTCGAGACCAGACTGGGCAACATAGTGAGACCCCATCTCCACAAAAAATGAAATTAGCCAGCATGGTGGTACATGCCTGTGGTCCCAGCTCCTCAGGAGGCTGAGGTGGGAGGATCACTTGAACACAGGAGTCCTAGGCTGCAGTGAGCCGTGGTCGTGCCACTGTACTCCAGTCCGGGCAACAGAACAAGGCCTTATCTTAAAACAAAACTAAAAACAAAACGTATGGAGGCAGGTAATACTATGAGACCCATCTGACAGATGCAGAAGCCATCTCTTCGAGGTTAGGGCTGAGCCTCAGAGCTCAAAGACAAATAGGAAAGAGTACTGTGCCATAAAGGTGAGACCACAGAGAACAAGAGAAGCTGTGCTGGCAGATGGAGGAATCAGAGTCAGACATTTCTACACCTTGCCCCCTCTTCCACCACAAAAAGCACACGTGGGAGGAGAAAAAAGCACCTGTCCTGCAGCCTCCAGCTACTGCTCCTACAGGGTGACCCAGGTTAAGCCACTGCCTCCCTGGAAAGGAAGCTTGGGCCTCAAACTGACCACCCTAGAGGACTGGGTCTACCATTAGGATCCATTTTCATGCCCGCGGTGGGAAAATACTCATCCTCAGGACAACTCTAGGGCTCTGAATAAAAACACACAATAAGATTGTTTTAAAGAATATATCCAAATATTTCAAATTCATTTTTACATAGACTTTCATCTAGTCTCACAACACATTTCAATACAGGCATACTTAAGTACTATAATCCCAATGTGTTAAGTAAGATTTAAAGCACAGAGTTAAACCTAGAATTCTTAAGTCCTAATTCCTAATCCAGTCCTTAAGCACTGTAAGATTTTAAAGTACCACCCTATACCATGGTCTTAGTAATTCCACCAGTCAAACCGATCACTGTATGTGCAAATGATGCATGTAGCACATTCCTTAAGGAAGCACAAAGCTTCCAGCCATTATCCCTATCAGCATTATAACAGGCTACTCCACTTCACAGCAAGCTCACCAAGACATGAGGGAAGCTTTGGGTTTTCAAACCTGTTTGTTTAGTAAACCTTTTGCTCTCCCAATTAAGTGAAGGAGGAAGAAATATTAAGTTATAAAACAAAACTAAACATGAAACGAGAGGCTCCTACTTTCAGAGTAAGTAAGATAGCTGTAGCTGGGGTCGCTAATATCTGAAAGGTCTAAAATAGCATAGAGTTCACAGGCACGGGAAAATATAATACAAGTCATTAGCTATTAATAGAGCCAGAGAGCCCACTGTTGTAATTAAATCATAGTTTAATCCTCTGTATAATCCTCTGAGTTAGTCTTGACATGCTTCCTTGTGGTTAGTTTTGGAAAAACATCTGCTAATGGTAAAATTGGGGGCTCAGAGGGGGAAAAATTACATCCTTCTGGTTGGAATAGTCATATGAGTAAGTCAATGAAAACACTGAATTAATGAAGGTCCAAATCACTGGCTCTTAATTTTTTTTTTTTTTTAAGAGACAGGGAAACAGAGTCTTCTTGCTCTGTTGCCCAGGCTGGAGTGCAGTTGCCTCATCACAGCTCACTGTAACCTCAAACTCCTGAGCTCAAAGGGTCCTCCCACTTCAACCGCTCAAGCTTGAGACTACAGGTGCACATCACCACGCCCTGCTAATTTTAAAAATTTTTTCTGTACAGGGAGGTTTCGTTATGCTGCCCAGGCTGGTCTCAAACTTCTGGCCTCAGGCAATCCTCCCACCTCGGCCTCCCAGTGTGCTAGGATTACAGGTGTGAGCCACTGCGCCCGGCCTCAAATTTTTTTTTTTAAGTCAAAAGAGACTTAAACACAGAAACAAACTAAATTTGTGAAGGCTATTACAATTGAACAAAATATTCTGATTCGAAGTCCCTATATGCTCTTGCGAGAGGTAAAGAATAGAAATATAACTTTACCCAGTTAGGAAGGAAATATGTAAGTAACAAGTATTTGTACTGAAAGCATCCCTTTTCTAGACCAGCCTTGCGCTGAGATAACAATATCTCCATAATACCTTTAAAGAATGAGAGGCTGATTCAAGCCACAGTCCACAGGGATCAATTTACTGCCAGTCAATTTGCTAAAGACCATTTAGCTAGCTATATTCAAGCCTAGAATCTTTTAAAAAGCCAAATCAGCTCTGAGTATGTGCTGGGCTTTTTCATTATGTTAGTCTTCTACGTGAAGCACTCGACCAATAAATATTCAAATAAATTAACTGTGCCAGTAAAAAGTTTACTGTACTTAGTCATTTGAATGCAGAAATAGTAATTTTAACAATCTGTGCACAATTCCATGTTACGTTGGGCAGGCCCAGTTCAAACCCACTCCTGACACCCTACAGCTATAAATTATTTCTGGAGCTTGAAAGTGAAAGACAGGCCAGGTCTGAAATAGCACAACAGTTGGACAGTTCCAGCTTCAAGAAGACAAACCCTGTAATAACCTAGATCCAGAGGCTTCAGAAGGAGTCTAACTCACTGTCCAAAAGTGGGGGGAAATCCCTTCCAGAAAACATTCTTCTTTTTAAAAACGTACTCTTCATTGTTATTTCCTAAATATACAATTAAACATTGGAGTGTCAAAAGCAAAGCAGAAAATAGAGAATGCTAAATAAATAACCCGGAACAAGTTGAACCCTTCACGACTGAATGGTCTTGGAGAACAAATAGGGTATCTTCCTCCTCGAAGTCTTAAGATCTGGGTCCCCTTTCTAGAAGCAGCCCCTAGTGCTTGCAGGGGGGCTCTGGCACACACAGAGAGAGGCCAAGGTAACTGAGTCTTTCCCTAGTTAAGTCTCCTCCTTGGGGACATTTTCTTCATGTAAATTAGCAGTGTTCAAAGAGCCAGACCTGGCTCATTCCCCCACGGTAATAAATAATATAACCACACAGAACATTCAAAAACACTGCCCAATGCTGTTAATAAATACGGGACAAATACGCAAGGTTCAAAGATTAATGAAGCACCTCGTTCCCTTCATACAACCACTTGTTATCTGTGAGTGGAAAGATGATGGGGGAATTTTTGTGACTTTCATATTCCTTTACATTATCTGGACACTTTACAGTAAATACTTATCATTTCTCCTGTCAAGGGGAAAATATTTAAGCCATTTTCCTTTTTAATTTTCTCACTCAATGTGGTTTCAAAGAACGGATAGCAAGTTTAACTGCTTCAACCAGGTTAGTGGTCTTCAAAAGGTAACCTTAGTAAAATTTAAATAGACAATTCTTTCTTCCCAGAAGAAATTCTGAAAGAATATTAGTCTAACATATTTTCAGAAAGAAAAAAATGCTTAAACTGCCTATACATTAAATGCTTGTTTGAGAAATTACACTAATTACAACGAAGAGCCACTCTGTGATCATTAAAAATTACTATGCGTTCAGTGCAAGGGGTGATTCCAGTGTTTCCACTTCCCCATTCTACTTTCTATTACTTTTCATCCTTTTAGGCACTTATGTCTTAAAAGTGGCATAGCCTACAAAATTAGGAATTCAAAATACAAATTCAAAAAAGCCGCTTAATTTTAGAAATAGGTCCTCAAAAAGAAAAATATTTACACAATTTCATGTGAGAATTCAATCCTAAATAAGAATACTGGCGTCCAAAATCACCCAAAATGCAATAATAAAAATACAGATTCATATTGTCCAGTCAAAAAGAGTCTCCAATTTAATCATATATTGTAGCATTCTCAAAACTTCCTATCATTCCGTCCCATCTTTTCCATTTTCAGAAATGAAGTGATAATTCAAATGGGAAACACAGTAATTGTGTACAGTGCAGCCTGTCAATTGGTCCAGTTCTCTTCTGCACATCACCTTAAATACGTGCAAGCCAGATATGCTCTCCCGGGGCTGGGCGGGCCTGCATCTAGTAACTATGTGCTTAAAGTTGTCCAGGGCTACTAGATCAAAGACAGCCGTGCAAGAACACTTCCAGCTCTAACAGGTGCCACTTTGTGCAAAAACATCCACAGGAGTATTACAAAAAAAGACAGCACTGGGTTTCAGAAAGCCCGGTGTCAAAAAGGTGCTTTCATGCATTTTTAATCCGAGAGAGAAAGTGAACAATTGTCCTTCAATAATCAGTGTCAGGGCCAATGACACGGCTTCCCCTCCTTAGGGTCCACCCAAACTGTGACAATTGGCTTACCAACTACGGTCCTTAAGGGCTTTAAAAACAAAAGAAAACCAAAAAAGCTATCCTCCCCAGCACAGAAAAGCACCCAAATATTTGTCTTTTTCTTCTTTTGCCCCTTCCATCTAGTAATGAACAAGAAAAGAAGGAGAAAATGAATGTGATTGTCTGCTCTCTGGGACAGAAAAACATGCAAAGACTGTAACGATTTACACAAAGAGGTGTTTAAATTTTGACTCTTTTAGACTACGTAAATGCAGATGCTTCTCTCTATGAATTAATTAACATTCTGCTATTTAATATTTTAAGTCTTAGCAGCGGGTCCCACATGTTGGCTGACTGTGGGGTATAGCCTGAAAATTATTTGTAATGACAATTCTGTAACATTATCCCTCACTTTACCAAATTCCTTACCAATGTTTAATAACAAAACAAAGCAAGGTATCAATGGCATTTATTACTTTAACCCTATGATTTAGTATATAAAACTCTTCCAGGGAAGAGGGCATGAAGGAAGGGAGACAAAAATGGTTTTCTAAGTACTCCCAGGGGAGGAGAGGGAAGAACCCTGGTAACACGTGAGTACCTTCAGAAGAATCGAGGCAACAATTTAGAATAAAAAATAGCATACATAATCTCAAGGAAATGCTGGACATAATTTAGGAAAAATGCCACTGGACACAGAAGACCAAAAATGAAGACTAAATGTCCCCAAATTTTTGACATTTAATAAATATGTTTCTCCAGGAACCTGGTGCTCAGTTAATTAGTGAAAGTATATGGACCCAGGCGGTGAAGTTTCTCCCTGGCAGAAGGGGCAACAGGCTTCAAAAATAATGGGAAATTTACTCAAAGTTGTCTCCTTGGTTATTGTAACAAATATTTTACCAAAAGATATCAGAGAAGAAAGGGACTGCCATCAGATGACTCGTCTTTTATTTATGATGACAGAGCTAAGACTTAGCGAGGCAGCAGGGCCTCCCCACACTTCTGGTCTACCAAGCCAGAGAAGGCCCCCCGGCACCTCCCCTCATGCTAAGCTCCATTCCCAGGCCAGACAAGGCTATAAAAAGCCTGGCCTTGGGCCAGCTGGCAGACCACACACCGGGTATTTTTAACTTAAAGGGGCCTGAGGATCAGGCCAAATCCAGGGCACCAAAAATGCACAGAGAAGAATAACAACCTCCAGCCAGGATGGTGGTCCACATGGAAGATCCTTTTCCTGAGTTATCCTAATTACTAATGGGTGTTCTAATCGTGATGAAGACATTAAAAGATAACATTTGGGAAAGCTGATAAAAGTGGGTAGATACTTCATTTTGGAAGTGCACGATCACTTTGAAAGACCATATGTAGAGTTACATAAACAGCAATGTGAACACCAAACACTGGCCAAATAAACTGAACTCTTATTCTTTATTCCTGACACATAAGGCTACAGACTTGACTTTTGTTATAATTACTCTAACAGTTTGCTGTTGTTGTTTTTAGTTTCACACTGGTCTTGGCACTGGGCCACACATACAGATACTGTGAAGCTGTTCTCTTCAATAAAGCTCAAATACAGCAACAGTACAACTGAAGGCTGAGGAGCTAAGGATTATGCTACAATGACTAACTTCATTTTCTGGGTTCATAAGTATTAATCGGAAATTTCTTCCCGTTTCATTCTTTATTGTTAAAAATTACACTGAAACACAGACATTAGTTATATTTTCTGCCTTAAATGAGCACCACTGCATCTTTCCTTGAGGACTGAAGACTGGCAAAGTCTCCATCACGATTCTAAATATGAATGCTTAGTATCACCTGTCCAGTGACAGGGCAAGGGGAAGGCCAGGTAGGTGGGGTCTCAATTACAACACCCTTGCTCTGACTGTTTTATTTATTGGATTCTCTGGTGGGCTTCCAGGGAGGAGGTCGAGTTGGGTTCTGTGACTCCTGGAGAGCAAGCCACATCTGCAGAGAGCCGGGTCTACAGTCAGAAATTTCTTTTCGAACTAAATATAACCTTAAAATACTTTACTTAACTTGCCTCTTTTTCTCTCCTAAAGGCAAAGGATAACCAGAAAAATCATGTTTACCTGCAGACGTGTGTTAATAACTACCAAATGTAAACACATTCAAGATATCCTTAACATTTACAACACTAGGATCATCTTCATCCTCATTAAAATATATCTGCTCTCATCTGCAAGAAACCTCCAAAACTCTCTTTCCTTCCCATCGTCTATCTCAGCTGGACTCTCCTCTCTTACCCTTCACTGGGGATGTTCTCTACAGACCCAGACCTCATTTTGCCTCTGGATGGTGGGAGAGCCTGGCCGGCCTTCCCACTTCAGATCTCCCATTCGCTGGGTCCTAAACACAGCTGGGAGACCCTTTCCCCTGAGCAGCACTTCCTGAGTTCCCTGAAGCTTTTCCTGGCGAATCTAAACAAAGGCCACCCCACCCTTACATGGCCTCCTCAGACCAGGTTCCCTGCCAGAGACGCTCCAGTTGTGCTGTTTAATTCATTTATTCTTAGGTTTATTCTTAGTCTACCAATTCCTTGAGACACTGAAAACTCTGGCACATTACCAGATAGCACAGTATTAAAACCTATTAGAAAACAGGTTGGTTTAAAAAAAAAAACTGCTTATTAAAGATGCCTTTGCAGAGGTTTCTGGTAAACAGACAGATTAAATGCTCATGTTTCTCTCTACTCTTCCATGGGACCCCATTAAAATGACAGTAAAGAAATAAAAACAAATACCACAAGGGCAAAGAAAACATGAGGTGAGATGGTAACAGATAAGAAAGGTCAAAAAAATTTTGGAAGGAGAAAAGCAGAAAGACAAGTGATAATTAAAGTTTTAATCTGTTCTAGGTGACAGGATAAGAAGCAAGCTAATTAAAGTGCAGAACCCCAAAGACAGGAATCAGAGGGTGGCGGGGGGCTGGGTAAACAATCTGTAGGGAGCAATTCAGAGATCCCCCTTCCCAATCCCCACCTGTCCTGTAGGAAGTCAAGAGGACTTGCCATCTGGAGGGGCCACAGCAGGCGAGTCCATGGAAAACGGGGACTCAGTTAAAACACGTAACAGGCCCGTCCCCCAGTCAGCCTCCAGCTCTCCAGACACCCTGACTTCTCCTCTGAGAGTCAACGATGAGTTAGTTACTGGGGAGGGGGAGATAGCAGCATGTTAGGGTCTGCCAACAAGATGGCCCAATCCTCTCCCCACCACCGCAGCCCCGTCCACACACACAACGTGCCGATCGGTTCTCAGAACTGGCTGTTACAGATGTGCAGAAAGCGAAGGACCACCAGACACCTCAAGAAGGCCTCTGGCCAGGCGCGGTGGCTCAGCCTGTAATCCCAGCACTTTGGGAGGCCGAGGCGGGTGGTTCACGAGGTCAGGAGTTTGAGACCAGCCTGGCCAACATGGTGAAACCCCGTCTCCACTAAAAATACAAAAAAAAAAAAAAATATTAGCCAGGTGTGGTGGTGCACACCTGTAGTCCCAGCTACTCAGGAGGCTGAGGCAGAAGAATCACTTGAACCCAGGAGGCGGAGGTTGCAGTGAGCGGAGATTGTGCCACTGTACTGCAGCCTGGGTGACAGAGTGAGACTCTGTCTCAAAAACAAACAAACAAACAAAAAAAATAGCCTCCAACCAGAAAGACCGTATAGGTGAAGGGCTGAAAGGAAATATGGACCAGGAACACTGCAGAGGAGCCCTTCAAAAAGAATCCCAACATTGTCGTCGGCAAGATAAACCATTGTAGCCACGAAATAAGAGTAAGATGGTATAAAAAAGAAAAATTTGGTGAACAAAACAAGTTCATGGAAAGTGAAACTACAAAAACAGAACAAACATCTGCCAGGAACTACAACAAAAAAAGCAATCAGATGAAAGGAGGATAGAAAAAAAGTTTCAAAAATTAAAGAATTAATCCAGGACTTATAACACCCAACTAATAAGGTTCATAGATAGTAAGAACAAATGAAATAAAGATATGGTAATTATCAAAGGAATAATACCCTCCCCTAACGAAGAAAAAAATAGCACCAAGTTTAATACTGAATGAGTCTAGCAAAATGGATGGAAAATACCAACTCCAAAGTTCATCCACATTTTAGAAATCAAGGAGATCAAGTTTCTAAAGTCTCCAGAGAGAAAAACAATCAGTGACATACCAAAGAAGGGGCCCTGGACTTCTCAACAGACATGCTAGAAGCTCAGAGGACAGTGGGGGAACAACAGTTTTTGAGGGAAAATTATATCCAATCTAGAATTCTACACTCAGCCAATCCACCCATTAAGGCCACCTTTCTGACAAGCAGAGACACGCACATCTCCTGCACCCTTCCTACAAAGCTACTACAGGATGAACCCTACTAAAACGAGGATTACATAAAGACAAGACATGGAATTCAGAAAACAGGGTTTGAGGTCAAAGTAATTTCAAGAATGGCAGTTAAGGGATGCTTTACTCCGAATGCGCAGCGGGCCAGGAGGGTAATAAAGTACAGAATGCAGAATGCGGCAGGTGGCTCCCGGAGGGATTCCAGCTCTGACCAGGAGATCACCACTGCTGCTGAAAGCCACACAAAATTTAAAGAACAACATGCAAAGTGCTTACTTCCAAATAAAAGTCCAGTATGGCTGGTCTAATTAAAAGAACTTAAGCCACCTGAATGCATCCCCGGCTGAAGATGTCTCCTAAATTACGGAGACAGAGCTTTTTACATGTGGACATCTCCCCAGACACGGGAAGGCTATTCAAAAGATGATGGTCATCCATGAACATGAAAAATTGTTCACTCAGAGTCTAAGTAACTAATGGGTTCCACCATCTTGAGAGGAAGTGCACCGTTCTATCAGAGCTTGAGGATAAACTGGTGATGTATACATTTCTTAAAACGTAAAATAATGGGCAGTTATCAACTCCTGGATAACAGAAAGTTGTACAGTAAGGAAATATACTTGCAGTCCATGACTCAACTACAGACAGTTATTTTATAGTTACATTAACATAAACACTGAAAGTTGATTTAACCAAAAGTTATAATATGGAAAGATGATAGAGGGAAAAGGAAATACAGGGCAAGGCAGTCAGTTTTTATTCAAAACTTCACTTCTTTACTTATTTCCCTATCATCCTTCACCAGGTTAAACACACCAGAACAAACACTCAGAGTGTTGAGTATATTGCCTGAACATTACTTTAGATTTTTGGCAAGTTCCTATTTCCAAAGGCAAAAGTCACCAGCAATGTAGACTGCAAAGCAAAATGTTAATTCTTTATATATAAACTTAACTGCCATAGAGGTGCTATAATTGCATGATGCACTCTGATACAGAAGAAAGTAAGGTTAATAGAAATCATATACCAATTTTAAAAAGTCTACTTATCAAAACAATGTTTAGAGACATACTGCACTTCCATCCTCTCTGGATACACAGACAGAGTAGGAATTTTCTTCACTCTGGAAGCCTGAGCGCTTGCTCCAAGTATGAAGAAACAGTTTCTCTTCTTAAACAAAACAAAACAAAAAATCAAACAAGATCCAGCCAGCCTGTAAGCGGCAGCCCTGTGGCTTTCTGAACTGATCCATCGAAGCACCAAAGCAGAACAAAGATGAAAGGAAAATTTGGAAGCAAGAAGGGGAGAAAGCTTGATTCTATGCTCATAACCATGTGTAAACTGAAAATGTGAAAAATTCTGTAAAATTCACAAAGACCCCTTTACAATCTAATTGAACTTGAAAAGCACACTCTACCTACTCCCCAAGAACACATGCCTCTCTCCCCAGACCCAGCAAACTCCTACAGCAAGATCCAGGTCTAGGGGCACCTATTCCCCACCCCATGCAGCTTCAGGTGTTCCCAGAGTATAGTCCATAGATCTTGACCCAGCACTCCTCACACTGCATCCAAGTACCTGGTACGTGTCTGCTCCCATGATGTACTTTGAGTTCACCCACTTAGGGCTACCAGTAAACATCTGATGACAACTAAGTGAGCAAACTGTCAAAGACCTTAATAATATTCTCTCAATTTATTCGACCAAAACAATAGCTATGGATAGCAATGGACACATGAGATAATGGCATTTATCTAACTGCAAAATACCAATTTTTAAAATTTAGTAAATACATATTATTATTAGAATCAGTCTGGATTCACATATACAGCCTAACACCCCCCCTACATTCCTGTCCTTATCCCAGCCCAGGTGTGCCCCTCGGTGTTACCATAGCCCCAGGGTAAACATCCCTACCTGTGCGCACTACTCAGCATATCTCTTTGCAGAGTGTCCCTGCCGTGGTCCTCTGGAGCAAAGCCCCAGTTACGGCTGTCTTGGTATTTCCCCATGACTAGTACAGGACTGAACAACTGTAGACATTGAAAATACATGTGCTGAGTTAAACTCAAAGTAAGTAAGCTTAACTTACAGCATGAACTGTTTTTCTTTCCAGTGAAACACTTTTTAATTTAAAAATTGTATTTTAAAACTTTGCATACTACCATATATATAAAATAATACTACTCGTCATAAACAGAAGATTACCAGAAAAAATGAATACCATGAAGACAATACAATAATGGTTACATTCTAACCAGATATTGATGCTGCCCAAGGTATAGACACAGGCCTGTTCTTCAGAAAAAGGAAATGGGGTGGGAGGCACTATGAAGTGTTGGAAGGGTGCTACCGCGTACTAACACCAATGAGAGAACAACTACCCTACTCTAGAACTCCAGGTTATGTAATGCTGTGTCTATGTGCCACCCAAAATGACCTTGCCTAACACCAGTGGAATGTGTTGCACACACAGCAAGGCTGGTCTGGAGGATCTTTAAGGCTACTATCTAATAGAAAGGCAGAATTCTCTACTTAGAGTTTGTATCAGCTTGGGCAAGCTACCTAACCTCTGTTTCCCCACTGGCAAAGTGAGTAGTATTACTTACCTCATGGATTTGGCGAGAATTATAGGAAATGATATATGAAAAGGGTTTGGCAAGATTCCCTGGCACTTAAGAGTCTCAGTAAATAACAGACCAATGATAAAATCCTGTTTCTAGTGTAAAATGGTACAGCCACTATGGAAAATGGTTTGGCACTTCCTTAAAAAGTTAACATATAGAATTACCACATGATCCAGCAATTCTACTCCTAGGTATATACTCAAAATAATTGAAAGTAAGTATTCAAACAAATACCTGTACACAAATGTTCATAACAGCACTATTTACAATTGCTAAAAGGTGGAAACAACCCAAATGTCTATCAATGGATGAATGGATAAACAAAATGTGATGCATATATCCAACAGATTATTAAGCCATAGAAAGGAATGAAGTGCTGGAACGTGCCACAAGAGATGAACCTTGAAAACAGTATGCTAACTGAAAAAAGCCAGACACAAAAGGTCACATATTATATCATTCTATTTACATGAAGCATCAAAAACAGGTAAATCCAGCGGTAGAAGGCAGGTTAGCAGTTGCCTGGGGGGAAGAGGGACAACAGAGAGTAACTACGTAATGAATCCAGGGGTCTCATCTGGGGGTGGTGAAAATGTTGGAACTAGACAGAGGAGGTGGTTGTACAACACTATTACTGCAGTAAACATTATTGAACTGTACATTTTTAAGTGGTTAATTTTATGTTATGTGAATTTCCCCTCAAAAAAATTCCTCTAAGTGTGATAGACGTAGTAGGTAACATTCAATTTTCAAATTGTTAAAGGTCACAAAAGACTTTACGTGAAACGAATATTCAATGTCAAAATGAGGCTACTTTAATTATAATCAGTCTTATTATTTAAAAACTCAAAGGAACTCCAGTGTCAGTTACAAGGATTCCAGCTTTACCAGAATCATAAAACAGTGCTAGCGTGCGCCCAGAGTTCAGGCGCTAAGGAACTGAAATGCTTGTTATAGCACTTAGTAGGCATGTAAATTTGAACAGCCTGAGTAACCCCTCCCCTTAGCCTCCTCATTTGTAAAATGAGGATGACTATATAACAATGCCTGTCTCAGAGGCTGTTATGAGGACTGGGTGAGTTAATCCATATAAAACAAGCAAAACAAGTAAGTGCCTGACCCAGAGTAAGCCCTCAATAAACATGAGCTACTATTACTATTCATAAAATGGAGATAAATAGAAACATGGCAGGGATTAAAGGAGAACATCCATGTAAAAGTACTTAGCATAAGACCTGGCACAGAGATTGCTGTTATTGTTACTGTCATCCAGAGGCAACTTCTCATATTTACAAATAAGAAATTGGGTCCAGAGAGGAGACAATTGTGATGGTGACAGTTTACATGAAGGCACTAGATTCCTGTCATCATCATCATCAAAATTATATGTCTATCAAAGATTCTCAACTAGAATAAAGCACACAGGGATGATTTTTAAGAATTCAACCTAAATTTCATTCCTCTACTCCGAGGTGCAACTCTCATTCCAGCCGTAGCCATGACCTCTGCTTTGGAAATGGGCTACGATGCAGTGTATGCATAATGGCAGCAGCCCCCATAAAGCACTGTGAAAATCAAGTCTGGGTCCAAATGATCAGCGACAGAGAACTAAAATGCCATCAAAAGCCCTTTCCGTGATCCCAGCACAAACATGGATGTGAACTGTGCTCTCACTACAGAGGCTCAAAGCCCATCTTCCAGGCCCTGTTCTTCCACCACATGTGGTAGAACTCTCTTCCCTCCAGCAGCAAATCCCTAACAGAAAAACATCTGTTTTGTATGTACGGCATCCTAACTACTTGGGGACTTTCTTCAGTAAGCACTGTTGAATGACTGGTGTTGGGATGAAGAACCTAGCTCCCATCACAGGTACACCAAATCCAACTCAACCTTCTCCAGACTGAGGTATTACACCCAGTGCAAGGGATCATTCTGAGACATAATGGGCCTTAGAGCAGAGTAGCAGCCATCTCCAATTTACTCAATGGGGTTAGAATCAGAGAGGAAGAAACACAGACCCCGGACATGACACAGCAAGACAGCAAGACAGAAAACCACTCAGCTAGAACAATCTCTCAGGCATCAAAACTTCCTTAGGAATCTAAAAGCAGCATTAAAAACACAGCCCCATAGCTGTCTGCAGGCTTTGTTCTCAGAGCACCTGGGCACCGGGATTCTAGTGAAAACTATGAAAGCTTTGGAGAATGAGCCTAATCTCGGAGCGAACCATGGGTGGCAGATAACACGGCTAAAGCACACAGACATTTTTGCATCAAGCTGGACAGATTTCACTGGCCAGAGTCTAGGATTCGGCAACTTCTTCATTAGTAGTTTGGAAATGTTTGTGAAATGCCATGTACGGCTCTAGACGATGGGTCCACACCCGTGGAAAACAGTCCCTGCCGGCCTAGGCCATATGTTCTAACGGGAGGATCAGACAAGTGAGGTTCAGGAGGGGATAAGAGAGCTGGAGAAAACAGAACAGGGCAGGAGGCAGTGGGAGTGTGCAATTTTACTTAAGTCAGAGAAATGTCTCAAGGAACTCAGATAGCAAGCCCTGCAAGACTTCCCAGCAGGAGGAAAAGGAAACGCAAAGGTCAGAACAGATGAAAAAGGCTGAGAAAAGCCAAGAAAAAGATTTAAAGGCTGAGAAACAGAGGAGGGGTTGTGGCCCAGACGGTGGGAAGGAAGAAGCTACCAGGTATTGAGACAGGAAAACTACAGGAGGCGACACTGAAGAGGGAAATTTCTACACAAGAAAAACTTTGGAACTGTCGAGAACAATTCTGTGTTCCCTACAAAGAGTTAACAACCACAAAGTTCTGCCTCCGAAATTTAGAAATCCGAACTCAAATTCGCAGCCTCTCTTGCAGCCTGCGTGCATTCACGTGACTTAAATTCTTTGTTAGATCATAGCAGAGTTTGATTTGGAAGTAAGCACACTGCATGATGCTCCTTGCCAGACCTTGGTGGCTTTCAGCAGCAGTGGTGATTTCCTGGTCAGAGCTGGAATCCCTCCTGGAGCCTCATGTCTCACTCTCCACTGTGTGCTTATCACTCTCACGGCCTGCTGCGTATGTGCAGTGAAGCACCCCTTAACCGCCATTCCTGGAAGTGTGCTGTGATACATCAGATGCCATGAAGACTAAGGGCCAGTGATGTGACTAAGTTATCACTCTTCCCATCCTTTTATTTTGACGCCAAGGAGGAAGAAGAATGGGTGAGAACTCAGCCAGAGACACTAGGGGAGAAAGAGATTAGCTCTTCCTGGCAGCTGAAGGGGATTCTAGTCTTTCCTCCTCTCCCCAACTGCTCAGTGATTTGAATGTATCCCCTAAATTTCATGTGTTGAAAATTTAATCTCCAAATTCATATGTTGACTGGAGGTAGGGACTTCAGGAATTAATTAGATAAGGTCATCAGAATGAGGTTCCCTACAATGGGACTCAAGGCTTTATAAGAAGAGGAAGAGAGATCTGAGCCAGCACGCTACTACCCTCTCACCCTGTGATGCCTTCCACCACGTTGTGAAGCAGCAAAAGGCCCTCACCAGAGGCCAACACCATGCCTTTGAACTTCTCAGCCTTCAGAACTATAAGAAATAAATTTCCTTTCTTTATAAATTACCCAGTCTGTGATTTTTTTTACAGCAACAGAAAAGAAACTAAGACACTAACCATCAAATTTTGGCCAATTACTGAAGAGTAAGACCTTGTCATCTCCATGACCCCTAACGAATGGCACAGGACCCACAAGTAGGAAGAAAAGAAGGCAGGCCCTATTTCTCCATGAAGCCCAGGACACTGAGGAGAACCTCCAGAGATGTAAATCCTTAAGATGTCTGGAAAATGACTATTGGGATGCCTGAAGATCCTACTGGAAATCTCAAGGTAATATACTAATTGAAAAAAAGGGAAGCCTCCTTGTTGGCTGACCCTTTTAAGAGAGTATCTGAGGTCACAGATCCCATAGGCCAATAATTATTCTGGGCTTTACCTTTTCCCAGTTCTCTTTGGAAACAATGATTATGATACTGATTATAAAGAAACATCTAATCCTTACTTAGAGCGGTTTTTTTTGTTTATTATTATTATTATTATTATTATACTTTAAGTTCTAGGGTACCTGTGTACAACATGCAGGTTTGTTACATAGGTATACATGTGCCATGTTGGTTTGCTGCACCCATCAACTCATCATTTACATTAGGTATTTCTCCTAATGCTATCCCTCCCCCATCCTCCCATTCCCACCGACAGGCTTCGGTGACTTAGAGCGTTTTAAGAGCTCTTGCTTTCAGGTACGCTCTCGCTATCGTTGGCAGCTCAGGCTGGAAAACCATCCCTGCACAGCTGTCTTTTCTGTGGTGCATCTCAGACTGAAGCTTTCTTCCAAAAGACGTTTGTCTCCAGCTCTCTTGAGGACTAGCTACTACAACTATCCAAGTGAGGCTGGTTATACCATGTCTCAGGACCATTAAGTAAAACTTAATTACCTCAGCAATGACAGGTTTTTGCATTTTAATTCTAATACCTGCGTATTTTTGCTATTAACATTAGTCTGACTTTGTTTCTGAATGTTTGGTGTTTTATAGATCTTGACTTGGATCCTTGCCTTTGACTAACCCTGAAGAGCCAATTCTACTGGTTGGTTTGCTTGGTAGTTATTTAAAAAAAATAAAATAAAATAAAATAAGCATGCTCTTACCAAGTCAATATCAATAAAGGGAGATGAATTTGGCTCATTCTTTGGAATATGGTCTGCTTTCTAAATTAAACACACTTCTCCATAAGAATTGGGAAGCTGGGTAACTCCTGCTGTTTATCTAGTGACCAAAATTTTGGATTGGGGCTATTTAAGCAGGCAAGGGATGTTTGTGTTATACACGCACACTACCCACATTCAGATCTCAAATCCAGGACGTCCCAAACATTTCTAAACTTGAGTCCAACTGCAGAGTTGCTCTCGAGGCCTGAGGAAGCCTGGATTAAGCAAGGCTCTCTGGCTCTGCGGAGGAGAGCCAGATTATAAAGCTGCTGCTTCTTTATAATCCCCTACTTGCCTCACATGCTCCCACCCATCTTCTTCCTCTGCACCCTCTCAGCTTAAGAGTTTTCTTAATTTCATTCACAACTACAGATTTAACTTTTAAAGTTCCTTTTCAAAATTATAATAAGGGCAAATAGCTTTAATAAATTTATTACATGTAAAAATAATCAAACTGCCATAAAGAATTTTTTGCCATTAAGAATTTAACTATTGGCTGGCTATTAACATAAAAGAAAAACTTTTTACCTTTAGAAAAAAAACCTTTTTAAAATACAAAAACAAAGCCATCTAGCCTACCTCATGAGAGTTAAAGAGTTAAGGTAATGCACAGAACATAAATCTTGAAACGTGTTTCCATCCGGACTTCACTTTATATAATCTGTCCCAATGTTGTTCAATATATACTTGTTTTCAGAACTACTTAGAAAGTAGCAATGTCTTAAAAATGAGTAATTGCTAGATCTCTCTTTGCTTCCTTTTGTGATTCCAAGAATGTCAACCTTAAGATTTTCTACTTATCAAAAAGGACAGACTGCACTCTACACATCTAACACATACCAGGTTCTTGCAGAACAAAGACTTACATGAGAATACATTCATTTAAAAAACAATAAAATTAAGAATTAGAAAATAATTTATTAGACTGATACCAACAATTTGCTAATCTTTGAAGAAGAAAGAAACACCTCTTTCTCTTTTAAAAAGAATGTGGGTCAGTAGTTATCTTAATACAATTTGTCAAGCATCAACCCATACATTTCACAAGACTGCTGAAATAACAAGACTTTAAAATCTAATGCTGAGGCTGGGTATGGTGGCTCATGCCTGTAATCCTAGCACTTTGGAGGCCAAGGCAAGTGGATCGCTTGAGTCCTGAAGTTCAAAACCAGCCTGGGCTACATGGCAAAACCCTGTCTCTACAAAAATATTAAAAATTAGCTGGGTGTGGTGGCATGTACCTGTAGTCCCAGCTACTCAGGAGGCTGAGGTGAGAGAATCACCTGAGCCCAGGAGGTCAAGGCTGCAGTGAGCCGTGATCGTGCCACTGCACTCCATCCTGGGTGACACAGCAGGACCCCATGTCAAACAAACAAACAAAAATCTAATACTGAAATGAAAAGACATTCACTTAATATTACTTTAAAGGGGAAATCCAAGCTGAGAGGTCTTATAGTCCAACCCCCTCATCTGGCAGAGGAGCACAGTGAGATCCAGATTTTCCCAGTATCACACACAGATTAGACTTTAACAGGCAAGGACTCAACCATCCCAGCTCCTGGTTCTGGGCCCATTTCATTCCTTTGGGTCAGTGGTGAGTTTCTGATTCACCGAGTGGGCCAAGAACCAGCATCACTACCAAGTCTCCAGAAGGTGTGAGCTGCCCCCGCTTGCCCACGTAGCCTCCCTCTAATACCCTGACTCACAGGGCAGTCACGGGAGATTAGGGCCTTCACAGTCAGGTGTCATTGATATGGGCATCCTTGGGCATCCGTGGGGGGATTTTCTTAATGCCCCGGGAGACTCTAACATTCAGCAAAGTTTGAGAACCACTTGTCTAAGATACGTCACTTAATCACTTTAACTTTCCATTTATCTTGTGGGATTTCCGTTGTTGTTCAGTGTTTGTTTTCCAAGGAGCGCTGAAGGGATATGGTTGGTTCATTTTACTGACGTCGACTGTTACCTTTATTTGAATTATTAACGTTTTAACATAAATACCATGCTTAATGTTTCTTTGGTGAAAGCAAATAAATCACACTTATTTAAAATATACTCATTCAGTGCTACCTAAAACACACACTTGTTCGAGACCAACCTGGGCAACATGGTGAGACGTCTCTACAAAAAAATTTAAAAATTAGCTGGGCATGGTGGCACATGTCTGTAGTCCCAACTGCTTGGGAGGCTGAGGTGGGAGGATTGTTTGAGCCCAGGAGGTCAAGGCCGCAGTGAGCCATGTTCATGCCACTGCACTCCAGCCCGGGCAACAGAGCAAGACCTTGTCTCTAAAAAATAAAAATAAAACATACATTTAAGATTTACATCTCAAAAGTAAAATAGAAAACCTTACAGATATTTTAGGTTGAAAGTCTATATGTAAAATACATAGTGGAACTCATGTGTACATGACAAAACAGTATAAACTACCAGCAGAGTACTAGGCGCTATATACTGTATATAAGCTTAGAAAATCGAGAATAATGTAAATGTACAGATAAAAAATAAATGTATCAATATAAACATCCTAATATAAAAGCAGCTTTCCATATTAAAATGAAATCATCTCACATTTTCTCATTAAACTTTCAGGTAAAATCTGATCTTCTCTCACTTTTCGGAAAAAGGCTAAAGATTTAAAAATCTTTATTTAACTTAAAATATGATCTCTTCTAACATATCATTCCAAGAATGTCACAATTCAAATATGTTTAAACCCAAATACAATATAAAAAGTACACAAAACCAGTTAGGTATTATAGGAATTTACAAATCTTTTCAAAAATATTTTCTTTTTTTTTTTTTTTTTGTGACAGAGTCTCCCTCTGTCACCCAGGCTGGAGTGCAGTGGCAAGATCTCGGCTCACTGCAAGCTCCGCCTCCCGGGTTCACACCATACTCCTGCCTCAGCTTCCCGAGGAGCTGGGACTACAGGCGCCCGCCACCACGCCGGCTAATTTTTTTGTATTTTTTTAGTAGAGACAAGGTTTCACTGTGTTAGTCAGGATGGTCTCTATCTATCTCCTGACCTCGTGGTCCGCCCACCTCAGCCTCCCCAAGTGCTGGGATTACAGGCGTGAGCCACCGCGCCCGGCCCAAAAATATTTTCTTAGTACAAAACTCCATCTACAGGGAGCTTTGGCATCACAGCCAGTAGCATCTGCTATCTACTTGGAAGCAGAAATGTGAGGTATAAATGTATTTTGCTGGTAAACCTTAAATACCTTCATGTTCACTGCTGAAGAACAACTGAGGAAACCATGACAAAATGTGGCCAACGAAAGGCCATTATTTATAAAAATCTGCAATCTGCTGAAGGGCCTCCAAACATTTCAGGTGTACAAGCAAATCAGCTCGGCTCCAAGTCTCAGTACAGAACACGAATGTATGAAAATGCTGTAAACAACATAGTGAAATTTCATAGCATTTCATTATTTTACTGGCCAAAATGTTCACCTTCATTTCATTTGTGTGTTTATATATGTATATCTACAAATATGTTTAACATATAAATTAATATACATATACACGTTTCATTACACAAGAATGCCATTGTCACATGAATGTTCTGTTTTTTACACACATGTGGGAGCGTACATGTGCACACAGATATGAATGGGCATCTTTAAGTAAATATAGAGACTCAAAAAATTAAGAGTCTGAATGTAAAACAGGCACCAGGCACCCATTCCTCTCCATTATACTTAGTCAAGTTATCTATCCTTTCTCATCCTGGACACACCATCACAGTCGCAAACATAGGAAGTCTAGGCTCTTTTTTAAATAAAACAAAAATTAAGCCCTGACTATTGGATTCATATTTAGGATTCAAAGATTGAATCATAATAAACATTTCATGATGAAAAACTCTGGAATTTTTAAGTCTTAAACCAGTCTTCCTCTCCCCATTCATCCTTACTTTTCAGAGCTCTCATGCAAACTATATCAAAACGTGGCTTTAATTACATTTAAAAGAAACACATTTTTTTCCAGAATAGATCAACAATATAAATTAACACAGGTGGAAACCCTAGAAATTGCCTGGCTGCCTTAATAACCCCAAAGGAAACATTTATTTTAGCCAAACAATTGTAATGTTTGTCTCCTTTTTAGAAACATCTGCTGCCAAAATAAACATTTGCATTGGAAGAAGTGTTTTGGCTGTTAAGAGGGTACCAAATAAAATGCTTATGTTCTGAAATAAATATTTTACTCAAAAAACATGCAGCAAAATTAGAATACAAATCTTTTTCAAGCCCTCTTCAAGGAAACCTGTTTTGAATTGTTTTTACTTCAATATGAAGTAATAAGTTCAGATGAATCACCTTAACAAAAATAATTAGTTTATATTTAATTTTGCCATTTTCTATTTCAAAACAATGATCATATTCTATGTTCCTGCTATAAAGTTCTTCGCAATACATGTATGCCTTTAAAAACTAAAAAAGTCATGTTTTCCCATCATAAAAGCACTCATGAACTTCAATCTCTCATTTTGCTTTTTTTCCTTTTGCCCTGTTTTATAATTCCAACAGGCATCATATTATCAAACACCTGCAAGAATAGTTAAAATATCAACCCAATTACAAAAAAAAACTCAGGAAAAATCTCAGTCTACATAATTGAAATCTGCTTGACACAAATAAATAACTCAGCTTCTGTAAGCTATTTCTCCTGGGTGCCGTTTTATATTAAAATCTTATTTAAAACAAGTTGGTAAAGGCCTAGGTGTACATTTATGATCACGAAGGATAAGAAAAATGAAACAAAACCTGCATTCCTGATCCAGCAAAGAATATCTTGGTGTCTTTAAGGTTTGTTTTTTTTTTAATCTGAAAAACTCAGAGTCAGATTCTAGTAACCTTAAAAATTATGCCTCTTCTGTGTAGCTGTCTAATAGATGAAATCAACCAATGTACTTCTGTTAACCAACCCCATGTCTGAATTCCAGAAGCCTGGAGGCAGAATATTCTCCACAGAGGCATAGAAAATTCATTTCCCCCCTGAACTCAACAAAAACCCAAGTAGACTAGTTTTTAGGGCACCGTGCAAAACTAATCTGTTTAGCCATGTATTTGCCTGATGATGTGGGAGAACTGGCAAGTGAAAGACCACAAATCTAGTTCCAGTTAATAAAGACTAAAATGATGTACTATTATCACGTCATGCTTCAAAGATCCAGTCACGAGTATATCTCAAAAACAAAATTATCACCATACAAATCAAAGATCACCAGGGTAATACTAAAATCAAACACAGTCAGTGGCCAGTTCCTTCAGACTCTCAGAGACAAAAAATAAACAGTGATACTCCTCTCCATGTTAAATTTCACATCAGCACTGCAGTTCTTTCTAACAAAATACTCATTTAAAATTCATATCACAGGAGCAGAACGCCAGCCAGGAATCAAACTGTGACCCCTGAGCCAAAGACAACTTACCACTCAGCTGGTAAGTGGGCAACTCAATTTACAAACTTGAATTCCTGCATTTTAATCCTGTGCAGAAATATACGAGCAATATTAAATGAACTGGATTCAGCTCATTAGAGGTTCACAAACCAAACACAGAACGTTCTGGAAGCCATCCAAAGCAAAGTCATGCCTAGGTGGTGATGTCCACTCAATAAATACTCAATGTCATAATTATCTTTCAACTTTTTCCCTGAAGAACATTATTAGCCACAACTACAACAATGCTTAGCCAATTACATTAATCCTAGGGGAAGATGGATGGGACCAGCAGCCAATCACAGTGCCAGGACCCTGTTTGTGAACAAATTTATAATTATCCAAAATGCAGAAACAAAGCAATTCACTGAAAATTCCTCCCCAAAGAACACAGACTCAAGCTAACAAAATGAATGTATATGCTCTAATAACCTTTGCTCTAAATCTTCACTATTTTTTTCCATTTCAAAAATTAAGAACTGTTCACATGACCTTGGTATTATAAAAGCTGTATGTCTTCTTTAAAATGTTATACACATTCAAAAGTGCATTCTGTTATTTTTAGCCTTTTAAATTTTAAAACAAGATACTATATTTCAAAGCTGTATTTAACTAAATGAAAAGGTAAAAAGGCAATACAGATTATTTAGACCCATGACTTTGATTAACTCATTATGAAAGTTTCCACACTTCTGCAGCCAGGATATTCAATTTCTTACCAGATATACTATTTTCCTTTCATTATCAGAAAGATCTGTGCTTAATTAGAATTGGGTATTTCTTTTGGTTAGCAGTAAAATATCCAATCTAAAATCTTAATTAAAAATTTGCTGAAATACTTGATGGGCAACCTACATCAATTTGTCCCTTCAAATAAATCTAAGAGTCATTGGATTTAAAAAGTGTATAAGAGTCACAGGGATTAAATAAATGGAAGAAGCTAAGAAAATTGAGATTACTCTATATATCTGTGTATGTCCTCTACTTTTAGCTTTACACATTTAGAAAAGAAAATAATTAAAAACATTTCCTAGGTAATCATTCTTCACACACCCTCTCCATTTGTTTGACTCCCACTTTGGGACTGGAAACTAAGCCAACATCTAGAACTTCTAGTGAGACTTAACTCCTTCAGAGACCAGGGAGATCCGGCTGCTTGCCGTGAACAGCATCTTTTGAAACTGACTTTTTAATCTCACATCAGGGAAACATGCTGAAAAGCAAAGTGGGGAGCCCAAGAGCAGCGAGCATCCACTTCTCTCTGCCGGTCCCACTACTTCTTACTACCTTCCCACCTCTGCTCTCTTCCTGTGGCCAAAGCACCATCCACAACTATTAGCTCCCACATAAAATCAGCAACAGAGTGCGATGGGGACTTGAGCAGCCAGCTGCCTGGGCTGTCTTCCTCTCAACTAATGGTGAAGCTGCTCTAAAACTAAAATGAAGGAGAGAAAATCGCAACTCTTCCACCTTACTTTTCATCATTTACAAATTATTTCCTTCTCACAATTAGCAGCCACAACTAAAGATTTCTACTCTAGGCAGCAAAATATTGCTGGAAAAAAAGGAATAATGTGGAAAAAATTAAAAGTACAATTAAGTATGCAACTGACTGCTAGAATTCGGAGTGGGTAACCTTCAATAATTGAGAAGTGAGGTCTCTGACAACAGCAAAGGGTGTTCAATCTGCAACTAGGATTCAAAGGCTGAGCTACCTCTATCTTCCCCAATAATGGCCTTAACATAAACAAAATCATCCAAGTGGGAGCAAAGATAAAGAGGAAAGACAACATTTTATTTCTTATTTTATAAATAAAAGACTTATTTTATTTCTTTTTTTTTTAGGGTCTCGATACATTGCCTAGGCTGGACTCAAACTCCTGGGCTCAAGCGATCCTCCCACTTCAGCCTCCCGAATAGCTGGAAATACAGGAGGGTGCCACCATGCCATGCTACTATAACATAGACTTACACAATATTATAATTAAAATAAACTTCAATAATAAATTAATAACAATAATAATGAAACAAATAATAAATCACAATACAGATCGAATAGTGTATAAACGAGAAGGCTCAGAAGCAACCTACTGATGAACTGTTAATATACAGCTATGTATCATGTAAAGTATGATCAATCATTCTCCATATCCACATCAGAGAGAACAGTAGTCATATCTAATTTTTGCCCCTCAACGAAAGATGTCTGGTCAGATGGAAGCATTTCCTGAGACAGCACTGTCAAGCCCTGTTGTGGGTTACCGACGGCCGCACCATGGGACGCCCCAGCCTGGGGCAGTAAAACGTGCAGCAGCATCAGCCTGACCCACTCCCTGGCGGCTTAGGTACGGTATGGCGATTTATAAATAAGCCTTTCTGGTGCTCCTAGTAACTAAATACCCTAACAAGTTTGAATCTAATTTAGTCTTTTCCAAATTTCATCCTCCCTCCAGCCAGCATAAAGGGGTATTCTTTCAAGTATCCAAAAGACTAGGTTTACCACTGCTAGAGGGTAAATGGTCATCTAAGGTGACTCCATTTGATTCCAGAGAAAAAAAAGGAAAATGTTGGGTCTCTTAAGAACAGGAAAAGTCTTTTTTAAGTAAAAACACAAAACCCATCAAGACCTAACAAAACAGATGCACATCAAATCCTCTTATATGAAATACAGAAACCTTTTTCAAAAGGTACAGAAGAAATAATTTAAGAAATGAAAGCAAAATAACTTTGGGAGACTAAACTTTTTTTTTTTCAATTTTAAAAACTTGATGCCATCCTCATGGAAAAGACCTTTAAATGACTTGAAAATTCACCTTAAGATGGTCTATTCACAGCTCAAAATCTGACACAGTCTGACAAAAATGTTGGAATGCCAAGTTCACTTCAGAGCTTACATCTGTTATAACCTGCTGCAAATTTATGACACAGTGCACCTATCAAATACAGCTGGTCCTGCTGCCCTTCTACCAAACAGGTATTCTGTCCACTTTAAGAAGCTCACCTTTCCATCTTTAAAAGAAAAAAAAAATTATACCTGTGATTAAAGAAACAATAAAAATTAAAGCAGAAAATCCGTGCAATGCCCCCTAATTCTCTTTAACATCAATCTTAGGTGGACAGCAAAAGGCAAAGACAAAACTATTACAAAAAAGCAGCGGGTCGGGGGACCAGCACAAACCTGCTGCTGAGGGTACTGCATTCCGGCCATGGCCCCGGGAGTCCGACCCTGGATGCCAATTGGATACCGCTGTGGGCCTGGAGGGCCATAGGAACCTCCTGGGTACGGACTGCTCTGCTGAGGCTGAGAATGAGGGTTACTGCCCATGCCATACAACTGAGGTCTCTTCATCACCATTGGATCCATTGGGCTGCCCTGTGAAGACATAAAAGAAGTCGGTTTATTAATTCATTCTTTATTACAAAGGCACAAATTTGTGTTATGTCAACATATGCATTAATAACACAACTATCCTTAAGTTTTAAAAATATTAAAAACAATGACCTGACAAAACATCCAGCAAGACATTAAAGAAAAAACCTAGATGGATACAAGAAATTTTATTTTTTACTTTTAGGAGTTTTTAACAACTAAGAGAGCTCTAGACTAAACAAAACTAAAAACGATTTTGGACCATAAGCAGAGAGAAAACATTTGCATCTAAAATTCTATTATGCGTACAGGAAAAGAGCATGATAGTTAAGCTCACCCACCTCCTTTTAGCTTACTAGTAATAAGAGCAGAGGGTATTGAGTGATTAACATTTTCTGCCTTCAAAGTATTCTTAGAACAATGATTTTATTTTAGAACTGAGTCTGCAAGTCTTGATCAAACCTTAGTGCAACCGAGTGTTCATTAAAAAGTGAAAAGATAGATTTTAGATCATGCATATGTCCAGGGTAAAGATTTTGTTCAGAGACCAGCAGTGTGTAGGGATGAGCACTCAGACTATGAGTCACAGCACCTCTCCCCATGTAAGTCAGCATCTTACCAAACACAACCAGTTCACAAGTAGATGTTGAATTTTATTTTTGGTTTGGTGAGTCAGGCCCTGGGCTTCAGGGCCGAGGTCATACAGGAGGGCTAGGCGTGGAGCCTCAGCCCTTCATGTCCTGGGACGTCAAAGGAACAAAGCAATAGGTAGAAAGGCCCTCACCCGGTGCTACAGTAGCAGGCAGCATTCACCCAGCAGCTCCTTCCTTCCCTCCTCTGTCCTTCCAAAACCACATACTGATCCCAACTGTGTGCCAGATGCTGCGTTCACACTGAGGTAAGTACATGGGGACTTTCAGGAAGGCTTAAGAATTAGCAGGGTAAATTCAAGACCATCCTGGCAACATCACAAGACCCTGTCTCTACAACAAATTAAAAACTTAGCCAGGCGTGGTGGCAGGCACCTATAGTCCGAGCTGTTCAGGCTAAGGCAAGAAGATCACTTGACCCCAGGAGTTCGAGGCTGCAGTGAGCTATGATCACACCACTCCACTCCAGTCTGGGTAACACAGTGGGACCCTGTCTCTTGAAAAAAAAAAAAAAAAAGAGGCCGGGCATGGTGACTCATGCCTGTAATCCCAGCACTTTGGGAGGCCAAGACGGGCAGATCAGTTGAGGTCAGGAATTTGAGACCAGCCTGACCAACATGGTGAAACCCCGTCTCTACTAAAAATACAAAAATCAGCTGGGCATGGTAGTGCACGCCTATAATCCCAGCTACTCCGGAGGCTGAGGCAGGAGAATCGCTTGAACCCAGGAGGCGGAGGCTGCAGTGAGCCAAGATTGTGCCACTCCAGCCTGAGAGACAGAGCTAGACTCCATCTCAAAAAAAAAAAAAAAAAAAAAAAAAAAAAGAATTACCAGGATAAAGGGGAATAACACGTCCAAGGTGGGAGGGAACAGCATGTACAGTACCACAGGGCAGAAGAAACAGCACAAGGCACTGGGTCAAGGGAGATGAACTGCCTGGTGTGTATCAGGAAATAAAAACCATCTGGATCCACGTGAAGCACGAATTTACGAAGATGCTGAAGCAGGCAGAAGCCAGAACATGGGTGAGCCCTGCAGGGCATTCTACAGGCTCAGGCTGCCTCTGACAGATGAACACAGGACTGCTCCCTTGGGCACCTGACCCAGCTGGAAGCAGGTCAGGTTGCCCTGGCAGGCAGGTGAGGCTGAGGTCCTGAACTGGCAGCAGTGGTGGGAGGAAGCAAGCCCAGCTCCAAGGCACAGTTAGAAGGGAAATGCGGCAGGATTTGGAGACCAAATGAGTGATGGAAGCCAGCAGCCAAATGAGATGGAGTGTGCAGAGGGAGAAGCCAATCACCATATCCCCAGGAGTGGGAGCCTTCAGTGGTTTACATAGGAAACTTGAGGCTCTGATATGAAATCCAGGTGAAAATGCCCAGAAGGAAGAGACATAATGAGCTGCAGCTTGGGGAGTAAGGCCTGACCTGGAAAAATAGGTAGAGAAGTCAGCAGAGAGGACATCCACTCCCAGAGGGCAGGGATTTTCTCTATTTTATTCACTATTATATCTCCAGGGCATAAGTTGAACAGTGTACCCAGCACATTAATTGATGAATTAATCAATAGGAAGCAATAAAACCCATGAACTTTATTTAGGAGGAATATATGAAAGGAAAACAATGGGTAGCGAACAGAATCCTAGAGAATATCACCGCTTAAGGGAAAAGGGAAAATGAACCCACAGACAAGCTGGAAGAATGGCCAGAAAATGTAGACACTCTGGAGAGTGTGCTCTTACAGGAGGGAAGGGAGTCAGGTGTAGCAACGAAACAGGTGTGCCAAATGCAGCCCAGGAATGCAGTCAGGTGAAGGGTAAAGGCTTCTGCTATACTTGACAAGGAGGCCACTGCTGTGCTCGGCAAGGACAGTCTCGCTGCAGAGGTGAGGGCTGAGGCTGGAAGAGGAGGGACGGAGGGGAGGTGAAGATGGAAGGCAGGAGCACAGACCCCGAGAACTGCCAGTCCTCTCTTCCACTGGCACTCCCACTCCAAGGCTGCACGGGTCCTTCCCCTTCTCTGCCTTCCTCAATACTCTGGTGTTCACTTTAAAGATTTGGTGAATCCATTCACCACACATTTACTAAGCACCTACTATGTGCGTTGTGCCCAACACTGGAAGCAGAAGGATGAACGAGCCTCCATGTCCTGGAGATTCACTGAAGGAGACAGACTAAACAGGTCACAGTGCAACACAGCAGATGTCCTGAAGGGACAAAGCACCAAGGCAAGGTGAGAAGAGGGTGTCTCACTGGGTCTGCCATGGGCTTTAACAAAGGCTTCCTATAGGAAATACCTGAGCTCAGTCCCAAGGGATCCACAGGACTGTGCCAGGAGGAACCCATCTCACCTGAATGAAGCTCTGTGGAGGACACAGGAGGAAAGAGGGTGCTTTGCCCCAGGCCCCACAGCCTACAAGCAACTTTTCTGCTCAAAATTCACCATGTGATACAATTTTAAACTGTTACTACTTTCACCAGCCAAGACATTGTTTGGACTTAACATGATAGAAATTAAACGACAGTACATTTGTTTGCCCAAACAATATACTGATTTTACATAACCTGAGCCGCCTTCATAATTAAGTGTACAAACATGTATGTTGATATATTTGTAGTAAAACTAAAATCTAGGGCTAAGAATTCATTTTCTCATAATTATTTAAATTAGAATTTATGCCTGATAAAAATAAAATGTGATTATTTTCTAGATTTTCTTGAAAAAGGTAAAACTTTTTATGGAAGTATGAAAATCAAGGCTGAGTTGGTGATTTCAAAATCAGCCAAGTGAATGAAGGACCTATGGAGAGGCTGAGTAAATCAAATTTCAGGCTGAATTTCCAATACGGGGCCCTGAGGCAGTCCTATCTTCACATTCAATCTAGACAGCCCAGGGCACAGGAAACGTCTACTTATTTCACTTCAAATAGTGCACGACCAAAACTGCCTTAATTAAAGCAGAAATGTTAAATGGGAAAATGATTGGAATGTCTATGTTTTAATGCTATAGATAACAGTGCAGCAAATTCATCTTATCAGTGACTAAAATTGTTTTGTATTATCTGTCTCATCACTGCCATCAACTCTCACAGTCCTACTTAAAATTCAGTTAATTTGCACCATGTCAAAAATGTTAGCTTAACCCTCAGATTTCTGAAAATCGAAAGCATTAAATACACAGATTATCTGAACCTCTCAAAATGCATCAAATATCTTTCAATGAGACTTCAGATAGAAAAACAGTTACTCATACAGTGCAAATTATTTAATTTTAACTTCTCCTTATGGTCTATTATTAAATATTCATCCACAGTCCAAATCCATCCTGCTGTGTCCTCTATTTTTGAGCATTAAAAATGTACAACTGAGGGTCTCAACTCCTGCTTCTCACTACCAGTCCCTTAAAGAAACTAAAAATTGGCCAAGTGCGGCGGCTCACGCCTGTAATCCCAGCACTTCGGGAGGCTGAGGCAGGTGGATTGCCTGAGCTCAGGAGTTCAAGACCAGCCTGAGCAACACGGTGAAATCCTGTCTCCACTAAAATACAAAAAATTAGCCAGGCATGGTGGCGGGCACCTGTAATCCCAGCTACTCAGAAGGCTGAGGCAGGAGAACTGCTTGAACCTGTGAGGCAGAGGTTGCAGTGAGCCAAGATCGTGCCACTGCACACTCCACCCTGGGTGACAGAGCAAGACTCCATCTCAAAGAAAAAAAAAAAAATCAAATCTAAGACTTCTGGAAAACAAAAGGGCCAAGCTGCTTCTCATACGCACATCTAACCTGAAGCAATTTTATGTTTTTTGTTTTGTTTTGTTTTCTGAGACAGGGTCTCGCTCTGTCACCCAGACTGGAGTGCAGTGGCACAATCTCAGCTCACTGCAACCTCCACCTCCCGGGTTCAAGTGATTCTCATGTCTCAGCCTCCCAAGTAGCTGGGATTACAGGCACATACCACCACACCCAGCTTATTTTTGTATTTTTTGTAGAGACAGGATTTTGCCTTGTTGGCAAGGCTGGTCTCGAACTCCTGACCTCAAGTGATTCGCCTGCCTCGACCTCCCAAAGTGCTGGGATTACAGGCGTGAGCCGCTGCGCCTGGCCAATTTTATGTTTTTTTAACATCTATCCGGGTATGACCATTTTCATTTCTCACTGAAAGTTTATGCTCTATCAGGGTTATCATCCACATCGAAAACAGCCCTCAACAACTTCTCTAAATAGATTGTCCGAGCATGTTTTCATTTCTAGATGGCATTCCACAACTGCTGTAGCTTGAGTTTCAATTCCAGAAAATAAGACAAGTGCTGTGAAGGCCACAATATATACACCACCATTTTCAAAGAGCTCTTAACCTAACCAGTCTGGTTTTAGTTACTTGGCTTTTAATGCAATTTTTTTACTTGATAAGACTTTCCTCCTCCTTATTCAAAGTAAACTTTTGGATGTACATGTAAGTAGGAGTTATTCTCTCTCTCTCTAAGGAAGAAATACATTGTCTATTTTTAAGAAATGTTTGTATATAGATTCTTCTAAGCATATTGGGTAGCACAATTCAGCTATATTACATGTCAGATAGGCTTTCAGAGGCTGGGCTGGGAATCCAACTGTCCTTTTCAAGATGATCCAAGTTAAAGGACAACTTGCTTATATACTTTTAGTATACTTTAAATATACTTTATCCTTTTTATATTTAGATACTCTGTTATCAGGCTTTCAGAGTATCCCTACACATGCATTTATAGTAAAAGATATCTAATTGTATTTGCTCCTAAATATCAAATTAAGAACACAGTTTATTAGATACATCTTTATGCATATCATATTTTACTACTTTTTTCAGCCCAATTCCTTCAACCGCAAATTGGAAAAACACTTCACAAAAAAAAAAAAAAAAACAACAAAGAAAACCCACCGAAAGAACTATCGAATCTTGTTGATCTAAAATCATTTCTACACATGTGGATTAAACAAGAGCTGATAGAAAACTCTTCCCTCTTTTGAACCATTGTTCGGGAAACAACATTCTCTTACCAGTAACTAAAGAAAACTTTTGAAATCTGTTCTATTTCTCTCGCTCAAACAGGGCAGGGGGTGTTTATTCACGTCTGCAGCTGTGTACCGAATGGCACTGCCCAGCAAGGAAGTAGGGGCTCTGGATTCAGAATGGATTCACAGCCCTGTCCCACCAGGGACCTCGAGTACACTGTGACCTTATTTCTTAGTTTTCTCATTCACTAAAGGAGAAATAAAACCCACCTTGCAATTATTATGAACATTAAATTCATCAGCGCTATAAAGGCTCTCAGAGGTCACAGGGGCTATGGCAGCACCTGGAGCCCAGGGCCCACCTACTCATTGAGAAAAAATGGAACAGCCCAACTGTGCAAAAGTAAAGAATCCATGGCCCGGCCGTAACACACCAACACAGCGGACTACACACGGGCATAGAGAAGACATGTCAGGTAACGTGCCATTTCTTCAATACTGATGCACACAGATCACAGCCATGTGAAACAAGCTCGATAAGGATCGGGGTCAGCCACAGTGGCCTGTAGATAGTTGCTGTCATATCGGGAAGCAATCTGTGTTTACTTTTCTGTGATGGTGTCTAAATATAGCTCAAAATGCCTCTGTTTTTCCCTGAGCATATTACAAACAGTACTCTGGCTCTCTGTAAAGGGAGAACAGGAGGTGGATGCAACACGGCCGTCTAGCCTGTCTTCCTCCCTCGCACACCCGCCTGGTCACGGCACACACAGAACAGTGGGCAGTGGGCGCCCACTCCACCTCACCACAGAGGTTCCCCACCACATGCCAGTGGCACCACCCAGAAGCCACTGTGGGACACACTTCAGAGCTGCTGTACACACCTGCAGAAGACACAAGTAAAGACAATGATAATACTGAATGCATACTCTGGTCAGGTTCTTCTCCTAACGGCATAAAAACCCGTTTACGGCAAAAGTAAAAGTGGGCACTAAAGACTCTTCCCTTGTTTCATAACAAGTGCCTACTCCTCTCTAAGCCAGAAAGAACCAAGAATCTCAGCTACCACTGCCACCACTACTGCAGAATGTAATCGCCAAAGAGATTCTCTCATGCCCAATGACACAAAGGAGGCTCACGGTAGCAGAGCTCAGACCAGAGTCAAGTCTCCCAACTCGGGTCCACAGTCCCATCTCTGGTCTGGTGTGTCTATACACGATCATCAGACTGAAGGAGGATAACATGCAACCCTGCATTTAAAACCACTATGTGTTTTACTTCAACTCACAACAAAACACTGCCTGCTTATTAAGACTTGAACTAACACGTTGGAACTTCGAATGTGGGTATCAACACACAGAAGTTCTTCTTTTGTCAATACAGGAATATTTGTCACATTTTCCAATGGTACAGAAAGGATCAAGAAATGGGATTCTAAGATATTAGACAAGACTGGCCACACATGGTAGCTCACACCTGTAATCTCAGCACTTTGGGAGGCTGAGGCGGGCAGATCACTTGAGGTCAGGAGTTCAAGATCAGCCTGGCCAACATGGTGAAACCCCTTCTCTACTGAAAAAAAAAAAAGATATTAGACAAGGCAGAAAAGGTTGTTTTGTTACTAACTCTAAGAACCATGAAATTATCGGTGCCCTCTAACCATGACATCATTAGCAATGTTGGGGGAGAGACCTCAAAACACTCCTAACTGACTGAGAAAGATGACCACTGCCTGTGTTTTTGGTCTTGGTTTTGGTTTTCTTAAGCAAGGTGCAGAGAACATATGTATTTGTGGAACCATGGAACCCTCAATTTAGCATACAGTGTCAGAGGAGTTCATGGAATCTAATCTAGAAACCCATCCAAAGATCCCAGACTTACATTATCAAATAATAACAACATATGCCATGCATTTCCAAAGCACTTTAATATATTCTCACGTTATCACAATTCTTAAGACAGCCTGACCAAAGATTCAAAGATTCAGCAATGAAACTCAGAACCTTAGAACTGCAGAGAGCCTGACGGGTCCGTAAGTGATGTACATACAAATCCTTTCAAAGCATCTACAATGAATGTTATGAATTTCTTCCTCCTATGTAACAAAAGTCTGCTCCCTGTCATTTATACCCATTGGTATTACTTTGGTCCTTTGGCAGAATATTTGAAGATCGCTGTAAGCTATTTCTCTTTTCTGCGTGACATATACCCATTCTCAGCCCCCTCAACACAAAAGGTATTGTGGGGGGAGTGGGGGAGCAGTTCTTGCTTCCTTTTTCTAGAACCTGCACTGCTGACAACACAGTCTAAGAGCTCTGCGCTCTTGGCAGCCCCATCCCCACCAACAGCTGACTAAACCCCACCTCCCCATCTCCTATCAGACACTTGGGGAGTTGACCCTAGTAGAAGAAGTTGGTCTTTATCTCCGCTTGTTTGCATTTCGCTTATTTCTGATCACCATTCTACCAGGATGAGGTTGTTTTTCAAATCTTGATTTGGATCTGACATATTACAGTAACTGCATTTTCTAGCTTGACATCAACCATCAATGAAATCAGCATACTATTTCACCCAAGTCTTCATCAATGAAAACACTGAAGAGGTGCGAGGGGAGACAGAGCCTTGGACTCACTACCAAATCTATTCATAAAGACTGGTATTTAAATCCAAGCATCAGCGTTCTGGAAGCAGATCCGTACAGAAACCTTTCCACTGGTTCCCAGGAAACCTCCCATTCCTTCACTACTCTTGCTATGCAAGTACAATACCATATTTGCCTTTAGGTGACCACCTCTTGACCACTTCAAATTCCTACATCTTTTCTAATATATAAAATAAATCCAAAGTTTAGAAACATAATTTGGGGAAAAGGTTATAACGGAGCAGGCAGGGGGTTTCAAGTCAGACAAACCTGGGTGAGAATCCTGCCTGTGCTGCTTATTAGCTAGGTAAGCTTAAGCTATTCAACAGAATACGGTCACACTCACCTCGCAGTGTTGCTGGTGGATTAAATGAGATACCACAGGATTTATCACATAAAAAGAACTTCCTAAATCTCTTTTATTTTACTCTTAACAAATTAGCAAATTGAAGGCAGAGCTAAACCACTCAATAATTTAATCTACATATTTTCCTGTCTCCCCAGCAGACTGTTAATTTCAAGGTGAAAATTTTGTCTTATTCATCTTTGCATACCTAGCACTTAGTACAATGCCTGGCATAATTAACATTTGTTGACATGAGAAAGGAACAGCTTCCTCAATACCACATGGCCACTTAAACAGCAGGACTCTAACTAGAATGTAGGCCTCTTGATGACCACTAGATAAAAGAGGTAAAGACCCTTCTAGTCTCCCCTCCCTGCAGACAAAGCTTCACTTTGCACAAGTTCACCCAGACCATGGCTTCCATCACCTCCCCAAGCTTCTGTCTCCCAAATGCTGCTTCCCTTGGCTGCTTCCTCCAAGCCCCAGAACTCTGCACAGCATTCCTGCCCAGACATCCACAGGCTCCTCTCCGCCTCTCTCTGACCTCAGAGAAAGACACCCCATCCACCCAGATATTCATGTCAGAATCCAGGACACATCCTGACCCTTCCTCTCCTCTCCACCACAGCCAGCTCCTTACCAAGTCAATCTGTGGGACCCCCCATCTCTGCCAGCAGGAAATCTCCCCTCCAACCATGCTGGCCTCCACAGGGCTCTAGAAAAACCACACATTTCAAATATGTCATTCTTTCACCTAGAATGAGCTCTGTTCTCCTCCTGCAGAACTCAGCTCCAACGTCATGTCCTTAGAGGAGCCCTCCCTGAACTCCAGGCCCGGGCAGGATCCTCTCAGAGTAACAGTGGGCTCATCTGTGTGACTACTTGATCAATGTCTGTCCCCCAGCCTAGACTGTCCCAGAGAAACAGGAGTACGGAAGAGGAGAAAAACAAGTATTGAACCCATTTATAGCTATCATCCAGGTGCTACAGAATAAGTCCAGAAAGGAAGACTATTTTGGTTCCCTAGTTTTTCCCTGATTTTTATAAATTGGCAAAACCTATTATTAGCTTCATCCCCCAAAGCTCAGCAGCTTGTAAGTCAATTCAATGAGTAAATTACTGTCTGACTAAGCTACACTTTTCAATTTAATTTAGCAAATGTAATAATTTTATGAACAAACCAAAGGCTATATATATTGTTTATTTTGAGAGTAAGTTAGATCTAAAAGGAATACCAAAATAGTAATAGAATATATTTCCATTTTTCCTCACATTTGTTACTCTTGCTACCCAAAAAAATTGTAAAGCTTTTATCATGGCTTTAACATTTTCTAACATTTACATCTCTAAGTATGCAGTATTGTTCATAACCATGTGTCACTACTGACAGCCTAGTAGCAAGCACTTATTTAAGAAGGAGAAATAATATGGTATATTTCCCATACAAATACAGATTCAAATTGAGAAAGAAGCTTTTGTGAGACTATGTCAAATTTTAACCCCACCACTTGTAGCTCTGTGATACTGAAGAAAGCTACCACTTAACTTCCTTGCACCTCAGTTAATGGATCTGTACACAAAGAACACTACCACTATCATTTCAGAGCTGTTACAGAACTGGAGATAATACATTCAAGTTCTTGGTACATAACAGGTTTTTTTTTTTTTAAAAGGATAGATTTTATTATCATCATTATTATATGGAGGTATAATTCCAGAATAATCAATGAGGCATGGAAACCCTCTACTCCTCCATCAATGTGCAGAAGACAGACATTGCTAATCAATCCTAGCATTATTTTCTCTAAGTCCAGTAAGCCTCAGAATCTTTTGTCCTGCAGAGTTGCGGGCAGTTGTGTCAACTATCAGAATTTGCACAAGCAAAAAGTAATTTGCCATCTCCAGTAAAATGGAAAGAGCCTAAAAGTATGTCATCAGGTACACCTGGGTTCACATCTCTCTCCTACTTCTGACTAGCCATGAAATGTTAAGTAAATTATTGAAGTGCTCTAAGCCTCAATTTCCCCACCTCTCAAGTAAAAATAATAATACCTCCCTCAGACAACCATTCAAAAGATGTTTAGTGTGATTTGCAAGGATAAACAATTCCAAACACATATCAGAGCACTACGTAAAGACAGAGAAGTTACTAATTTCCCCAGCAATCCCTATGGTTGCTACCATGCCTCTTTCCAACTATTTTATCAATATTTTAAATAAACAACTTAAAAATTGTATTAAAATGCCAGTTAAGATAAGAAAATTACCAACTGACTTACCTATCTTGGGACAAAGGGTGCTTGCCATGCTGATACACAGGCTATTTGCCCCTGGTTTTAAAATGCTTTTCAGAGATATGACCCTATTAGATATCTAATTTGTCAGAGCTGTAACTATGTGTAAGCATATATTGACTCTTACTGTAATGTGCTTCATTAAAGAAAAACAAGTTAACATGACTAATATATGGTCAAATCTTATATTCTAAAAAAAAAAAAAAAAAAAAAAAAAATAGGGCAACTAAATTCAACATATAAAGGCCAGACAGAATCTTACACTGAAGGAGAGAAGATTGCTATATAGATGCTATTAGGACAACAGACAAAATTAGAATGTAGACTGTAGGTTAAAGTATGCAATCAAATCTAAGTTTCCTGACAGTGATAACTGCACTGAGGTGTGTGTAAGAGCATATGCTTGCTCCTAGGAAATACACCCTGAAGTATCTAGGAGTAAAGAAGCGGAATGTATACAACCTACTCTCAAAAATGATTCTGAGAAAATGCATTATAAATAAATGATGGATGAACAGATGGATAGATGAACAGACAGAATAATAAAGTAAATGTAGCAAAATGTAAAAATGTAATGCATCAGAATAAAAGGTACATGGGACTTCTCTGCACTATTCTTGCAACTTTGCTGTAAATTTAAAATTATTTCAAAATAAAAGTTTTGTGTGTGTGGTTTTTTTTTTTAAGAGTCAGACAAGGTCCTGCTCTGTCACACAGGCTGGAGTGCAGTGGTGCAATCAGCTCACACAGCCTCAAACTCCTGGGCTCAACCCATCCTCCCACCCCAGCCTCCCACATAGCTGGGACCACAAGCGTGTGCTACTACACCTGGCTAATTTTTTTTATAGAGATGGGGTCTTGCTATGTTGCCTAGACTGGTCTCAAACTCCTGGGCTCAAGTGATCCTCCTGCCTCAGCCTCCCAAAGTGCTGGGATTATGGGTGTGAGTCACAACATCAGGCTGCTTTTTTGATACGGATTCTCTCACTCTGTTGCCCAGGCTGGAGTGCAGTGATGCAATCTCAGATCACTGCAATCTCCACCTCCCGGATTCAAGTGATTCTCCTGCCCACCACGCCTGGCTAATTTTTTTTTGTATTTTTAGTAGAGACAGGGTTTTGCCCAGGCTGGTCTGAACTCTTGACCTCAGGTGATCCACCCACCTCAGCCTCCCAAAGTGCTGGAATTACAGGTGTAAGGCACCATGCCCGGCCTTTTTTTTTCTTTTTTTTTTTTAATTAAAGGGCAAATGGGATGAAGTTCCTTATTGTTCTAACGTGCGATAATTCTAGAATCTTCCCTTCTCCCTCCCTGCCAGACCTTCTGATTATGCTGTGGTATCAAAAAGAATGTGGACTGTTAGAGACACTTCTCCTTTCTGCCCCATTCTTTGATCAGAAATCTTATCAATAAACTTCCTTGAAGATCAAAAGTAAGAAAGAGGACATAAAGGGGTCCGAAAAATCCAAACTCCAGAAGGACAAATTCAAACAAACAAGGTTAGCCTCAAGGTGACAGGCCCAGCGACCTATCAGGCCTCAGCCCGCCCTGTACCTGGACAGCCCTCTTATGCACCACCAAGCCGATGCCTGAGCACACAACTCCAAACCCATTTCTAGAACACTCTGTACCCAGCACAGCTGTGGCTGCCCTGTAAACGGAAGACGCACTTCCAGCCTGGGGAAATACCAGTGAGTCCAGCAGCCTGCCTTCACAAGGCTCCACCGTTCCCCACAGCTCTCTTATTTAACAGATACTCAATTTATCACCATCAACTGCAACTCATTGTTTATCTCTGCCTCCTTTATCAGACAGTAAGTTCTTTAAGGCCAGATATGTTTTTTCCTCACCCTAATTTTCCTTATAGCCCCAACTTCTGACACCCAATGGACAACCATTATTGCTATTATTTCTTTAATAAAAAAACAAAATTAAAGAAACCCAAGTGCATCTTTTAACCCTTACCTCTCTCCAAGCCATCCTTTTCTAAACAATATTGTACTGTCTTCCTAGCTGTGTCAAGTATAAGTAATAAAATTATGAAAATCGATATGCTGTCTGACTTATAACAGGCATTTAATAAATGTTTGGTATGTGACTGCTGGAAAGACATCCATCTCCTATTCCAAGTGACTTCTGAATTCAAACTATAATGCTCCAAACATAGGCATTTTTTAATTTCCATACTATAATGTCACTATTTCTAGTATTCTAAAAACAGTATTTCCCAAAGTATATGAATAGATGTTATTGTAATTAAGAATGGTAAATGTGTATAAAGCGCACACCATTCTTCAAGATTCATAACATATATTAACATGAGAAAAGTCTAAAATGTCCTATATAGAAAAAACTTACTTAACTTGGTTGAACTCAAACCTGCCTGGGCAATGTTTTTTAAAGCAGAACACAGGAAAACATGAACCAGGATGACATAAAAATGTAAAAATGCATTCCATTTTCACTGTTACCCAGGCCTACTTAGGTAAACAAACAAGCAAAGTGTCACTAATATAAAGATAGATAGAGCTTACCTGTCGATTTTTATATATAGCTGGATAGTAACAGCAACAACAAGGTATGCTGGTCATATATCCTTAGCATTTATGGCAAATTATTAATCAAGTCCCACCTGAAACAATTTGTTAAATTGATTTTAATCACTGGGCCTCTCATGTGAAGCTTTGTATAATCAGCATTTCATTTACAAAATTAATTGCCTGATTGATTTTCAGGAGGCAGTTGCTGTCATTACCCTGCTGTCATAACTTCTGAGTAGGGTGTCACAACATGAAATTCTGACAGTATGAAAAGCACTGTTATTTTAAAAATGGGTGTGGGGAGAAAGGGAGAAAGGAGGAAAACTAAAGAAGTTACATTATCCTTTTCAGCCTAAAAAAGTTCAAAGTGTTTCATGCTAATTACACTCAATATCAATACCCTTCTGCTAAGTGAATTAATATACCAATCTAGCATCAGCGCACGAAGGATCTTTACTATCTTAAAATAATAACTAGAATGTATATGGACAAACTCAACAGTAGAAAATTTTACCCTACGTTACAAAATATACACATGTCTGGATATGTCTATATCAAGATAAAAAGAGCACTATCTTACAGTGGCATGCTACTTGTCTACTGCCAGCCATTTCAATTTCCCATACTCTTCTTTTCTTAGACTTTCTAATAAAAAAGCCATGACCAGAAATTTTAGGAATTTACAATGGAGACACAAAGTATATCCACTTTAGGTATACTCAAAACACGTAAGCACGCAGTCTTTCAACAATATTTGAATATTATTGTTACATACACACTTTTATATTGAATTTCTTGCTCACTATTTAATATTTAATAGTCTATTGATAATTGATGGGTCTTCACCTAAAAACCTGTCATCACAATTAACGGAGATTAGGCTAAAAAGCATTTGTTGTATTAAAAAAAAAATGAGGAGTACAGAACAAGGGATGAAAGGGGATTTTTAATAGTTATTGAGTATTATCCTCCCAAAAGTGAGACGGCATTGCCTACAACATCCTATTTCAAGTGCACCCACATAAACATCAAACTAGCCAAAGATTCTACTTTTCTTTACCATCAATCTGCCTTCTCAGAAAGATGCCCAATTCTACACAGGTCCCTAAATCTTGGGACCCCATCTCTCCCGCAAGCTCATGGTTGCATTTCCCACATCCTCAACATTAACTAAAAGCAGGATTGACCACGCCAAGCCAATTTGTTTTCAAAGGCATAATATAACTTCCAGAATATAGAGGCGGGCAGGCTTAAAACAACCCCCATTTGCTGCAATCCAATTCCAAACACAGCCTCTTTTAAATAAGACACCTTGAACTTAAAAGAAGTCCCCTGTGGAGACCAGATGTACTTTACATTGGTGCTTTTGTTTTTGAGACAGGGCCTCTCACTCTGTCACCCAGACTGTAGTGCGGTGGCAATCATGGCTTACCCGGCTCAAGTGATCCTCCCACCTCAGCCCCCATAGTAGCTAGGACCATAGGCGCGTGCCACCATGCCCAGCTAAGTTTTGTTGTATTTTTTGTAGAGACGGGGTCTTGCCATGTTGCCCAGGTTGGTCTGGAACTACTGGGCTCAAGTGATCCTCCTACCTCAGCCTCCCAAAGTGCTGGAATTACAGACGTGAGCCACCACTCCAGATGTATTAATATTTTACATTCCTTTCAGTACATGGAATTTTGATTCTTACGTATTCCTTTAAAAATAAACATCACCTTGTAAATTTACTCTATTATCTTGTGACCAAAGGCATTTTGTTTGCTGGCACACTGTACCCACTCTCGTGGTGCAGGCTACCGTGAAGAATCCACAGCGCGGGAGCATGAAGGCAGGGTCTGACCAGCGCACACATCCTTGAGATGGGGTCTGGAGGGCAGGCCCCTCCTGAACTTCTCGTGCTATTCCACTGCAAAAAAAACAGCAACAGCTCCCAGTTCTTGCTTGGCTCACAAGGATGCCCTAAGTATTGATAAGGTAATGTCTGCAAAGCGCTGTAAGCTCTGGAGAGAAAGGTCTTATGAAAGCCTAATATATGTCTAGGGTCACTCCTTAAGTGACACAAACTGGAATCATTTTGGAGAACAGGGTTCGACAAATTCAAATGCATATCAGTTTAACCCTGTCATTTAAAAAGAATCATATAAAGGGAAGACAGAATATTCTCTTACACATGTGCAAAGGTAGTGGAGACACAACACCGCACCTGAACACTTAATTCTAACTTCACTACTTCCTGTAACAGGATTCTACAGTATATCAGAAATTGTTTAGAGCAGTAATTCTCAAGGGTGAAAATGAATGAATGCTACATAAATAAGAACGAGGGTTACAAGGAGGGTCCGGTTAAAATACACACCCAGGATAGCCTGAGCGCAATGGCTCGCGCCTGTAATCCTAGCACTTTGGGAGGCCAAGGCAGGCAGATTGCCTAGCTCAGGAGTTCGAGACCAGCCTGGGCAACATGGTGAAGCCCCATCTCTACTAAAATACAAAAAAAAAAAAAAAATTAGCAGGGCGTGGCAGCATGCGCCTACAGTTGTAGCTACTCGGGAGGCTGAGTCAGGAGAATTGCTTCAACCTGGGTGGCAGAGGTTGCAGTGAGCCAAGATGGTGTCACTGCACTCCAGCCTGGCAACAGTGCGAGACTCCGTCTCAAAAAAAAAAAAAATATATATATATGTATGTATATACATACGTATGTGTGTATATATATATGTATATACATACGTATGTGTATATATATATGTATATACATACGTATGTGTATATATATGTATATACATACGTATGTATATACATACACACACACACACACACACACACACACACACACACACACACACCCAGGATTATAATTTTCTATTTGGAAAAGAAAGGAGGAAAGCTTTTTTTTTTTTTTTTATAACATACCACATGAAAGTGGAGCTTGATAAAATAATCTCAACTGTTGAGGATCTGTAGGAAAAGTCGAGCTTGTCCCATCAAGGGAGATGGGGGCTGCGGGCCTGGTCTTTTGGGAGGAGATACTGAAAGGTGGAAGGGGTGTAAGGAAACTTACATTTTCAAAAGAAGGCATGAGTTAGAAAGGATTGAGAAACAAAGATTTAGATGAAAGAGGAAACACATTACCTCAGAGGCCATGCCCATTCATTTATTTGTTCATTCAACATTGTTTAAACTGAAAAAATATTAATGTACAAGGCACTATGAAAAAGATAAGCAGAGGTATAAGAAGGTCCTTGACTTTAAGAAACAGAAGAAACAAAAGATGTATACAAATAATACACTGCAAAAATAAGCTTATAAATACTATAGGACAGAGGCTTATAAATGCCACTGTCCTATGAGTTCAGGGGAGAGTAACCACTTCTTTCTTGAAGAAATGGAAGGATTCATGGGGAATTCTTCATTTAAGGTAGATAATAATTAAAAAAAGAAATCAGCCTGGGCAACATAGCAAAACCAAAAAATACAAAAATTAGCCAGGTGTGGTGGCACATGCCTGTAGTCCCAGCTACTCATGAGGCTGAGGACAGAGGATCACTTGAGCCTGGGAGGTTGAGGCTGCAATGAGCTGTGATCATGCCACCACACACCAGCCTGAGCGACAAAGGAAGACCCTGTTTCAAATAAGAGAGAGAGAGAGATGCAGAAATATCAAGGCACAAATACAGCAACAACAGACAACATTTAATGAGCACCTCCTGTGCCCTCGGCACACTATAGGTGATTTACACACAGCACAACCAATGCGAACAAAAATCCTGCAAAGTAGTTAATGTTGCCAACCACTATTTTAGTTGAAGGAAATCATCTCCTAGAGTAGGTAATTTGCCCAAGGTCATATTATAATATAAGGGTCATGATGCTTTTTGGGGAAGGCATCTATATATATACCCCAACTGATATCCCTTGAGATAAGCAGAATGTAACTAGAAGACTTTCTTAGCCTGCTACAGAATGAATTGTGTCCCCCACCAAAATTCCTACATCAAAACCCTAATGTCCAATGTGATTGTATTTGGGACTAGCGTCTATGAAGAGGTAATGAAGGTTAAAAGAGGCCATGAGCATGGGTTCTAATCTGACAGGACTGCTGTCCTTATAAGAAGAGAGACCAGGCTTCTGGTACAGGCATGCACAGGCTCTTGCATCCTCTCTCTCCCCCTGCACATGCTCAGAAAGACCATGTGGGCACACAGAGAGGTGGCAGCTACCTAAAAGCCCAGGGAAGAGGCCTCAGAATGAAAACTACCTTGCCAGCACCTTGATCTCGGACTGCCAGCCTCCAGAACTGAGAGGGAGAAATTCTGTCTGGCATTTTGTCATGGCAGCATAAACAGACCAACAGAAACCACTGCTATTTTTATGAATTATAACACACAACCTGTAGTTGGCAGAATTCTAAAATAAATCCATGGGATTTATGCCCCTCGTATCCACACTTCTGTGTAATCCTCTCCTCTTGAGTACGGGTAAGACCTGTGACTGGCATCTAACTAAGAAAATATAGCAAAGGAAGAGACTTTGCCGATATAATTAAAGCCCCTCCTTAATCACATGACATTAAGTTAAAACAGTGGCCTGGATGGGCTTGACATAATCTGGTGAGCCCTTTAAAAGAGGGTCCAGGCCTTCCCAGAAGTTACAGATTCTCTCTCTGCTGGTGGCATTGAAGAAGCAGGCAGATATGAATTCTACAGCCACCAGGAAATAAATTCTGCCAACAGTCTGAGGCGGCCTTCCCCAGTCAAGCCTCTAGATGAGAATGCAGCCCGGCTGACACCTGGATTACAGCCTCTACGACCCCAAGCAGAGTATGGCAGCTAAGCCATGCCTGGACTCCTAACCTCCAGAAACTGACATAATCGATGTGTGTTCTTTTAAGCCACTCAATGTGTTATGCAGCAACAGCAAACTAATCCACAAGCTAATACAAATAATACACATTTCATATAGCTCTTCCTCACTCTTGCCCCTCCCACATAAGACCTGCTGCTGTGCAAAATATTGGTGTTGGTGCTCTCACATTCTCCAGAAGCCTGAAGACACACGATTCCAGAAGTTATTGGGGGCTGATTCCTCATCTTTCAGGCCTTGACTCAAGGATCACCTTCTATATCAAGTTTGTCTTGAAACCACCAGGCAAAATGAAAATGATCAAGAGATCAGAGACCCCTGAGGAAACCTGTGTTCTAAAATTTAGAAGGTTTGGTTGCCATTGTCTGTTTATGTGTCTTCTGGACACCAGAGGCTGTGAAATAGCAAGAGAGTTTACAAACCAAAGGAGAACACCCCTCTCGCTTTACAAGGAAGACAGAATGAGAGCAGGAATCCAACGCAGCTCCAGGAGCTGAGGCAAGTTCCTCAACCTCCCAGGCCTCAATCCCCTCATCTATAAAGCAGGCAGGCTGGCAGGTGGATCTTTGGTAAATGGCAGCTGTTACCATTTACACTTTTATAACCAGAACCTACCACAACGTATATCTGTAGATGGAATCAGTATGACAAAATATTCTTGAGAGGTCACCCTAAATTCTAACTCAAAAAATTGCAGAAATGCTAGCAATAATACCAATATAGGACAATGTGTACAAAATAGTGAACTGAAAATAAGTAGTTTAAACTGTGACTATTTAATAGTACATGTGTATAAGCTGACAAGGAACAGAAATGATTTTCAATAGTTATTTTTCCCCTTCCTATATTTCACATGTAAAGCAGCAGAGGTCACACATGGGGCCTGCTGCACCTGACAGTCTTCACCTCCCTCCTGAATCTGATTCCTCAGCCACATGCTGTGCTGATTTCCCAGATGATTGCTTAAATCCTCAAGTTCAGAGCTGCATCTTTTTGTCCTCTGCATGCCACCTGACCACATGACAAACTGTGCCCACCTCCACAGAGCTGACTTTACCTAGCCTACCATGCTAAGCCCATGTCAGAACCAAGGCCCGCTCCACTTTCTGGTGGCCCTCAGCCACCAGACTTGAGAAGGCTACTTTTGAATCATTTTTGAACGAACCAAGGGAAAGGGAGTCCTTTTTTTTTTTTTTTTTTTTTCTTTGAAAAAGGCAAATCTTCACATGCTCTTGACAATGGTGGTGGTACAGGAGCCTCAGGTCTGCCCACTTATCTCAAACCTACATCTAACCCAGTAATTCTATGTAATGCAATTGATTCAGCAGTACCATTTTACAATTCTGACTGGGTTTCTCTAAAATCCTGTTTATTAAGTTGCTTCCTTTAAGCATGCATAATTACTAAGTTGCTTCCAACTAAATCAGATATCATATGGAAAGATTACACTGCAACAGTGGAAGAGCACTCCAGGGATTATGTTTCATCAAGATCTCAAAATTCAAATAGGCGAGAATTTTACAACTGTAAAATGTCTTCTTAAAAAGAAAGCTTAATTTATACACAGGATGCTGGATCCGTAAAATGTCAATATCCCATTATAACATCCTGTGTACAAAATGACCACATCTCTCACATAGCACATGAAGCTAAGGCCAGCAGACTCAATGTGGCTCTCACGTGCTAACTTCCTCTTAATCAGGAGGTCAGTCATGGTAAGACACTGCTCAGCAGTGCACAGAGCTGAAACAGACTGAGCCTTTATGTGCCTGCTTGAAAGTACAGAGTAAGTAACGTAAAGTAGGCCAAAAAAAAGACACCTGATACTTTATAAAATTAGGTTATTGATGTTTTACTTTTAAAAGATTAATAGCAAATCAACAAATCAAATTACTAAAATGAATAAAAACCTCCAAAAAGAAACTTCAGTGATTTGCTAAGCCATGTGACTTTGATTAACTTTAATTAGAGTCACACAGATAAAACAAACTCGTGTGTACAAATCTTAAGACATTTCTCCCAAAGCACAATGAAATACAAATCCTTAACACTGTTTTTAATCAAGGATTTTAGTGCCTCTAAAAACATTCGTTAAAAGAAGTTTCTCTCCTTTCATCAAGTAAAAATAAGAGCATTGATATTTTAAAACCAAATGAACAAATAAAGAATGTGCACAACTAATGAATAAATCCTTATTAAACAATACAGATAATGTTTTTATTTTCAATTTTCATAGTGGCATGTAGATTAGAAAAAGACTTCTTTATAGAGAGTTAGTACACTTATATATATTCAATTTTAGCTGAGACTGAAAACAAAACAGGTAAAAAAGAGAATGAAAGAAAAAAGTATGATTGCAAGGAAATCTGTGGTATGAGGACTGTAAGAGAATTACAAGCATTGACTTTAGTAACAGGGCTGCTCTGGTTCACGGTCAATGTAGGCTGGAGCCCACACTCACAAGAGCACCACGTGATAGGCTGCCAAGAACACAATGAAGGCTCCCTTTTTTCAAGAGAGATTATTTACAAAGTCATAGCCTACATTTGACTAGAATACCTATTGAGTACCATACCAAAAAAAGAATGAGAACTCTGAAGTATTTTAAGATCTACATTATACCACTACATGTTCTCCTTTCTGTTTTCCCTGTTCTTATTTCTAAAGCTAACAAGACAGAATGCAAATAACTTCGGGAAAAATAAAATAAAATCCAGCTGATGTCTTCCAAATAGGAAACGCTCTCATCTCTCAATTACTTTTGAAATTTCAATTACTAAATCCAATTACTTTGAAATATCTACCTCTGCTTCTGCTTTGGGATACAATAGGGTTAAAGCCTCAACAGTAACACGGCTTAACAATGAAGAGGTTGTATTTTTATAGCACACTCATGGTAAGATGTTATGGACAGCGCTCAATGACACGGGAGTCTAGGACTGCATCTGAGGCTGTCAGAAAAGGAAGTCACGCAGGACTCAGACCCAAAGACCCTATCCTGATCCTTCCGGGCAAATCCTGCCAACTGCCTCAAAAGAGGGTGACATTCTAAAATGATTCCACAGTCCACAGCAAAAAAAATGATATTGTGTTTTTTCACTGTTCAGTGACTGCTTAGACAACTGAGAACCTCTCTTGCTCACACAACAAATTACCCAAAGCAAAAAGTCGAACCACTGTGGTGTGATCCAAGGAACTTTCTGTAAGGAAAAGGTCAGAGAACACGTACAATATCATCTTATATACAGATGTTTATATTTATATAATTGTCTATGTTCACATGCAGTATTTTAAAATCAACTAAAAGACACATTTAACTTAAGAGCATATACTTCTGGGAAGGGGAAGCAGTAAATGAGAGTTTAAATATTCAACATACACGTTTTTGCCAGCGTTTGAATCTTTTAATAATCAAACTATACTAATGCACTACATGTCTGTAACTCTCTTTTTCAAAAAAAAAAAAACCTTAAGAAAAAACCTCAAAACTCTAGTGGGGGGAAATTAAAGAACTGACAGAGCTCCTAGAACATGAAGAAACTCAACTAGATGGCGGGCAGTAAAAACCAAAACACAACAGAGAACCCTGAGCTTGGTTTCTGACATGCAAGCTTCTTGCTTAAGGCGTTTCCGACACCACGTGATCCGCTGGCTCCCTTCACCCTGGGCTCTTCCACTCCATAGATCTGAACTTTCTCCCAGCTTCCTGTTAGCTGAGATGCTAGAGAATAAAGAGTTGTGCAAACAAAGATGCTTCACTGGGTGGGGCGTGGGGGGGTGCACAATACTTGGACGGAACTGGAAATGGAAAAACGCACGCTGTCCAGGGGTTGGCAAGCTGCGGTCCTCCAGACAAATCTGGTCCACCGCTTGGTTTTTGTAGGACCCATAAGCTAAGAATATGTTTTACATTTTTAAATGGTTGGGGGAAAGAAATCAAAAGAATATTTTAAGACATGTAAAATTACATGAAATTCAATTTCAGCATCCATAGCTTTTCTGGCACGCAGCCTCCTCCCACGTTCATTTACGGATTGTCTATGGACACTTCAGCACTGCCTCAGCGGAGCTGAGTAGTTGAAACAAACATCATCTGGCCCAGAAAACCTGAATTATTTACTATGTGGCCCTTCGTAGGAAAAGTTTGCTGACCCCCTGATCCAAACGTGTCTCTAAGCTAAAGAATCACTGTAACACACCACAGCAACAGTGTGAGGTGCAAAAGCTCAGATTTGGGTCACAAAACCTGGTTTGAAATAAAGTCGTGTCCTTAGCCAAGTCACTGTGCTTCTGCTTCAGCACACACGAAACAGGGATATTAACCAAACCTCGCAAGATTACTGTGAGGACTAGATAAGAAAAGCACTTTGGAAATTATTAAATCATCTGTAAAGTAGTATTATTAAGCAAAACCAAACAATCCCCATTTAAACTCTGGTTGAAAATATGATACAGTAAAGTCTGTGAAATGTATTTTTGTGAAATGTGTTTTTAGAAGAAAGGACACGTAGAGAGCAGGAACACCTCCAAACCAGCTCTAAGGAGGTTCTGAAAGCCAGAGGTAGAACCTGTTCTTCAACTCAGTGGCACGGTAAGGCATGGGGTCCCAACTTGAGAAACTAAAAGAACCTTCCAAAGACCATAAGCCTTTGCTTTTTTTATTTAAAAACCTTTAAAAGTTTGTTGAATGTGCTGAACGTGAGTTTATCACTTATTGAGGACCTGGGCAACGCACCCTTCCAGCAATTCACTTAATCCCCATTTTATGGACAAGAAAACAGAACCTCAACAAGGTTTATGGTTATGATTTTGGGACCCACCATTAAACCTAATTTAGTGAATGTGACACAGAAAAAGTGGCCAATACGGAAATTAGAAATGAGCTTTCTAACTGGAGTGAGGGGGAACTCACATTACAGGGTTTCAAAGCTGAAAAATGTGGCTGGGCACAGTGGCTCACACCTGTAATCCCAACACATCAGGAGGCCAAGGCAGGAGGATCACTTGAGGCCAGGACTCTGAGACCAGTTTAGGCAACACAGCGAGACTCCATCTCCACAAAAAAATTTAAAAATTAGCTGGTTGTGGCAGTGCGCATCTGTGATTCCAGCTACTTAGGAGGCTGAGATGGGAGGATCACCTAAGCCCAGGAGTTACACGCTGCAGTGAGTTACAATGGTGCCACTGCACTCCACTGTCTCTAAAAAAAAATAAAATTAAATAAATAATTAAAAAGTTGCAAAGTATATGTAATTCTTTTTCCTATTTTTTCTTCCGTGTATGGAAAGGAAAGAAAATAAAAGCAAAGGTGACATTTGGATAGAAAAAAAATTTTCTTGTAGGCCCTCTGAGAGCAGAGAGAGCATACTCCTATAGGCAAACCAATAGCTGCCCTTCCTTGGTGAAGTGTAAACCTGCTAGGTTTCCTCAAGAATAGTAATGGTAACAATAAAAGCTGACACTCGGACAACATCCTATATGCTTTAAACATGCGACCTCATTTAATCCTCAAAATAACCCCAGAACTTAGATATTATCATTATTCCCATTTTACAAAAAATGAGTGGCAGAACTGGGGATTCAAACAGACCACTTTACTCTCGGGCCTATCCTGTCTCATTCCCTCACTACACATCCAGCACAGCAGGCTGCAGGTGGAGGCAAAGTGTCTCCACCAGATTTTCCCTAAGATTTAAATCCAATGAGCCAATACTACATCCCTGAAAAACTAGGGCCCAACCCAGAATCTCTAACTTGGCCTACTGAGTAAGCTGAGAGAGGCCTGTTCCTGCCAGAGTAGTATAAGCAAACAAATGCATAGTTATAATTAGCAATTATTAGCTAAACATCCAAGGGTTGGTAAGTGAAGTACTAAAATTTAGTGAGATGTTTACATTTGTTAAACTCTTGTCCTATTTACATGTCACTTTATAAGTACTGGCCATTAGTAATACTGCCTAATCTTTAAATTTTATATTTTAAGGGTGGGTGAAATAGGAACATTAAGACACAAAAAGGGCCAATTTCTTTTTTTTTTTTTTTTTTTTTTGCCAATCAGATCACATCTCTCTTAGTAGTAAAATTCTTCAATGGTTTCTATGACCCCTGGAATAAAATGTAATCTTTTCATGATACGTTGATATGATTAGGCTTGTCCCCACTCAAATCTTATCTGGAATTATAGTTCCCATAATCCCCATGTGTTGTAGGAGGGACTTGGTGGGAGGTGATTGAATCATGGGGATGGCTTCCTCCAGGCTGTTCTCGTGATTGTGTTAGTTCTCACGAAATCTGATGGTTTTATAAGGGGCTTCCCCCTTCGCTGGGCACTCATTCTCTCCCCTGCCACCCTGTGAAGAGGTGCCTTCTACCATGATTCTAAGTTTCCTGAGGCCTCCCCAGCCATGCAGAACTATGAGTCAACTAAACCTCTTTCCTTTATAAATTACCCAGTCTCAGGTATATCTTGATAGCAGTGTAAGAACAAACTAATACAGTAAATAAAGCTCTCTTTATGATCTGGCCCCTAATTATCAATGTAATCCAAAATTGAGGGGTGTTTTTTTTTTTGCTTTTTTTTTGAGACGGAGTCTTGCTCTGTCACCCAGGCTGGTGTGCAGTGGTGCAATCTCAGTTCACTGCAACCTCCGCTTCCAGGTTCAAGTGATTCTCCTGCCTCATCCTCCCAAGAAGCTGGAACTACAGGCGTGCACCACCACACCCAGCTAATTTTTGTATTTTCTGGTAGAGATGGGGTTTCACCATGTTGTCCAGGCTAGTCTCGAACTCCTGACCTCAACTGATCAGCCAGTCTCAGCCTCCCAAAGTGCTGGGATTACAGGAGTGAGCCACCATGCCCAGCCTTGAGGGGTGTTCTTTAGAAACATTCTCCATCATACCAGGCAATTCAACGTTACAACTACTATTACCTCTGCCACTAACATTTAATGAACACTTATTTCACATTGGATGTAAAGCTATATGCTTTACACACCTCAACTAATTTAGCTCTCTTAGCAACCACGTAAATTACGTTTCATCATCCCTATTTTGCAGATGAGGAAAACAAGGCTAAGTGTTTCCTAAACATGATGAAAAATGGCCAATTGTTTTAATATGTATTGGAAAAAAAGGTAATAACAGACACCCAGGAAAAATCTTACAGGAAAGCCCACCCAAGACAGGATGTGGAATGGGACACTTACAACTAACCCACTCAATGTGGGCAGCTGTGGAGGGGCAGGAAGAACTAGATCAAAAAAGGAATTTAAAAAAAAAAAAAAGAGAAAAAGATAAAATGAAAGCAAGAAAAAAACACACCATGAAAACAAAAATAAAGCATTCACTTGAAGAGAAAGGAGGGAAAAATCATAAATGCAAAACGAAGGCAAAGGTAAGTCTAGGTAAGTTTAAGACAGGTAAGTACAGAGGGAGGAAGATGGTGGATGGATAAAGATTTATAGATAGACACACAGCTTAGAGAACACTGAAACGAAAGGAAAGGAAAGGAAAATATTTTGGTTCTCTCTTAAAAAGGTAAGTAACAGCAACTACAATCTTTGCAAGATCCATTATTCTTCTATACTGAAAAATCACAGGAAATGTACATACATTTCTATTATACAACATTATAAATGTGGACTGAATTTCATAAATAAAATGTTGGCTCTTAAATCTTCATTGAAAAGGCTTAATAAATGTACAAGACCACATGCACGAAAATTCCATCATCTCTGCATACTAGAGTCAATCTGATAAAAAGAAAACATCGTTGCTTGGAAGTTGTATAATCAATTTCCTATACTCTTTACATATACCTATCGCTATAGCAGTAATTTAAAAAAAAACAAAATAGGTTGGGAGGACAGAAAAAAAATGTTTATACTCACACATACACCCATCAGAAATAAAAACTACATGGAAACATGCAAAAGTATAATCAGCTGCATTAGCATAAGGATCACGCTTTAATTGTTTTTCATATTTGTAGTTATAATAAAACTGTGAAACATATTGTGTACATACACAAATAACACACAGCTACATACTCATAAACACATATGTACACATATATTCATCCACCTCTTTGCTTATGAGATGCTAAAAATACTTAGAAATATAAACAATAACCCTCAACTTATACTTAGCCACAAAAAAACAATGCCAATACATAATCTTTCTCCTTATTTAAAAGCTTTGCACTCTGTATGGCACATCTGTTTTGGCCATTCAATGACCTACATTAGAAATCAAAGCCCCAGGGGCTAGGAGAGCTGTAGCCATCTAATAGGTGGGGATCTTGAGAAATCCTAACCTAAGAACCTAAATAGAAGCTTCAAAAAGAAAAGTGAAGGAACAGTCAAAAATTTGAAGTCCTCCTTATTAAACCTCTGGACATTCCTTAAATTAACATTTGATATTTTAAAACTAAAAAGTATATGATTTAAATATTTTATTATTTTTCAGGTTAAGCATTATTATTCAAACTACTAAATCCTAAAAAGAAGGGTAAAATATTCCAAGTAGAATGAAACACAATGAATGAATACGAAAGAATATGAACATAAATAACTAACATCCTTTACATATCATCAAGCTTTCAGAGACACTAAAAAATGTATTTTTGCTTCATCTAATGATGATGTGAAATAAAATGTTTGCAAACAGGAAGTTTATTTCTTCTAATCCATAGCCTACAGGACTTCCTAATTATTCCTCATAGCAACACTATAATCTAACACTTTCAGAAGGGCTGTGATTTTTCTGACATAGATGGAGGTCTCCTCGTGAAGACAAGCTGTGAAAAATTGGGTAGGAGAGAAGGAGAAAGGTGCCGTTTACACATTTATCTGCTTGGCTCACACCTTCGATAGAACAGCACCAACCAGTTAAACATTCAGTACTGCAATAATTTTGTCTCCATGCTTTTGACAATTTGTTTCACGCCTCATTTGCTATGAAGAGTTAAAACATTTTAGTCAATTTCGAGAAAGCAATTCGATTTTTTTTCCACACCAAAATGCACAATCCATTTCAACTACCAGGCCACAGGTTAAAGTTCAAACTGCAACACAGACAGAAATCAAGGACTTTCCTTCAAACATCGTGGAAGAAAAAAAACACTAACTAAACTTACATTTATTTTCAGTGGATATAAAACAAAGTGAAGTAAAACAGCCTTCCACATGTTTGGTTCCAAACAGCCTTTTCTCTACTACTAAAAAAAAAGCAAAAACACAGACCCCACCCTGCTCTTACCATCCTTAGACAATATGGCAGAACCTGGATAGATGCTTCAAGCAGAGGAAAAAATCTTTCCTTGTTTATAATGTGGTTTTAATGGTTTTTCATTATTTTTAAAGTTTAGATAACTGCAATACATTTGTACTATCAAAGATAGTTTCAAAAACAATGATGAGGCCGGGTGCGGTGGCTCACACCTGTAATCCCAGCACTTTGGGAGGGCGAGGTGGGTGATCATGAAGTCAGGAGTTTCAAGACCAGCCCAGCCAAGATGATGAAACCCCGTCCCTACTAAAAATACAAAAAATTACCCAGACCTGGTGGCGGGCACCTATAATCCTAGCTACTCAGAAGGCTGAGGCAGAGAATTGCTTGAAACCGGGAGGCAGAGGTTGCAGTGAGCCGAGATTGCACCACTGCACTCCAGAGTGGGCAACAGAGCGAGACTCCGCCTCAAAAAAAAAAAAAAAAAAAAAAGATTATTCAAGATCCTACCCTACTGACAGCCATCCAAAATTCAAGTAGCTCACATTCTACACTTGCTAAGAGCCAGGCACAGTACTAGTAGGTTTAAATTGTTATAAATACTACAAGATGCAACTCAAGAGTCTCTAGAACACTGTCCCAGAGAGCTTTCTACAGTGATGAGAATGTTCTAGATCTATTTTGCAACTTATGACAGACAGCTACTGACAACAGATTGTGCTGCTGAGCACATACAATGTGGCTAATGCCACTGCAGACATTAACTAATTTCATTTAATTAATTTTTTTTTTAAGAGACACGGTCTTTCTCTATCTCCCAGGCCAGAGTGCAGTGGCTCACTACAACCTCGAACTCCTGAGCTCAGGTGATCCTCCACCTCAGCCTCCCAGGTAGCTGGGACTACAGGCACACACCACCATGCCTGGCTAATTTTTTAATTTTTTGTAGAGACGGGGTCTTACTATGTTGCCCAAGCTGGTCTCAAACTCCTGGGCTCAAGTGATGCTCCCGCCTCAGCCTCCCAAAATGCTGGAATTACAGGTATGAGCCACCATGCCCAGCCTAATTTTAATTTATTTTATTTGCTTTTTTTTCTTTTGAGATGGAGTATTGCTCTGTCACCCAGGTTGAAGTGCGGTGGTACAATCTCAGGTCACTGCAACCTTCACCTCCAGGGTTCAAGAGGTTCTCCTCATTCAACCTCCCAAATAGCTGGGATTACAGGTGCCTGCCACCAAGCCTGGCTAATTTTTGCATTTTTAGTAGAGACGAGGTTTTACCATGTTGGTCAGGCTGGTCTTGAACTCCTGACCTTAGATGATCCACCCGCCTCGGCCTCCCAAAGTGTTGGATTACAGGGGTGACCCACCACACCCAACCTAATTTTAATTAATTTTAATTTAAATAGCCACACAAAGCTGATGGCTGCCATACTGAACAGAGCCATTTCAGAGTATACTTTTAATGCTGAAAAGGTTTTATGTTGGAAAAAGGTTCTTCAGACACATGAAATGCATCCTGATTCTGAGTTTTCTCTTTAGGAAAGGGGAATTGTAATGAAAACTAACCAAGTACAAAGATCCCCTTTCACATTCTCATCAAAAGAAGAAATACGCTTCAGTTCAAATCTGCTTTGTAACTGGTGGGACAGGAGGGATGTGTATAATAAAAGTGTTTTCCATGGCAGGGGTGGGGGTGAGGGTTCCGGGTGGGCACCTTAGAGCCATGTCACCTAGGACCCCGAAAACAAGAAAACTCATTTCACCTGCTGGCTGGGAGTCTTATTACTGCGCAGCTTCTTCAATGATTCTGTTTCACAGGTCTCTCTAACCAAATGGTATCCTCTTGGAGGGAAAGGAAGATCTTTCATCAGCTTTTCCAGTATCTTCATAGAATATCAAATGATTTGAGGCCGGGTGTGGTGGCTCATGCCTGTAATCCTCACACTTTGGGAGTCTGAGGCGGGCAGATCACTTGAGGTCACGAGTTCGAGACCAGCCTTGCCAACATGGTGAAACCCCATCTGTACTAAAAAATACAAATATTACCCAGGCATGGTGGTGCACATCTGTAATCCCAGCTACAAGGGAGGCTGAGGCAGGAGAATCGCTTGAACCTGGGAAGCTGAGGATGCAGTGAGGAGATAGCACCACTGCACTCCAGCCTGTGCAACAGAGCAAGACTCCGTGTCCAAATATATATATATCAACTGATGTGAATGCGCAAGCAAGCAATAAAAAAAATCTATCATAACGCCACCTTTCACAATGTAAATTCAGACCACTTGTCCAACTCTACTCATTCCAGTCCCTCCTGAGAGGCAATACAGCATATATGAAAAGGCAATGGGGTCAGAATGCCTGAGTGCAAACTGCAGCTGTGCCACTCGCTAGATGTGTGCCTCAAATGAGTACAGTAATAGAACCTACCTCACAGAAAATGCATATAGAGTTCTTAGCACAGTGCTTGGCACCTAGAAATTATTTGATGAATTATTTTATATTATTAATTATTCAATACTTAGTATTTCACTACAACAGCAAAACAATTGATTTCCCTTTGAGGTTCCACATATCATGAGGGAATCTGACCTACAGTCTGTAATACTTGAGACTTGAGATGGGACATGTACACGAGTTGAAATTTAAAGAGTGGTTTTTTTATAAATATATGGTAGGAAATACACACCTGTGCAGCATTAGCCATTTTAACATCAGAGAATAACCTATACACACAGAGAGAAAACTATTTCACAACTGCCAAGTTTTTTAGTATCCAATCCTGAATGACAGCTCTCAAACATAAGGTTTCAGAGGGGGTAAAGAGAAAATGTACAATTAACAACATTTACTCATGCTGACCATGCTTTAACCCAAGATTTTCGCCACACAAGTGGCAATGACCAAAACTAACTCCCCAAATGCAATAATCTCTATGAAGTTTCTCCAGACACTCAGAGATGCCTCCACCAAGCCAGCTGACTCACTACATCAAGGTGACAATCCAGTTTACCAAAGAGATCAAAGGCATCCAAAATATACTGGTAGTTCAATATATTACAAAACTAATCTTCTGGAAATATTTGTAAATAATCTTCCCCTCAGTCTACAAAGGTAGTGAAATATTCTCCACCCTCAACAAGGAGCGAGGGCAGCACAGGCTTTGGAGTTCATCTGCCTCAGGGCTGACTCCTGGTACCATCATGTAACATGGCCTTGGCCAAAGCGCATGCACCCTTCGTTGTACGTTACCTTAGAATCTGTGAAATGCAGAGGGGAAAGCCTGTCACCTAGGAGTGCTAAGGGAACTCTATCACCACCACCAGCATAATCTGAGCCCCACCGCATGCCAGGCACGACCCCAGGCACTGGGCCACAAAGAGCCAGGCGTGCTCCCGCCTTCCCCTGAGCAGCTCCAGGCCCACCGGAGAGGAGGAAGGATGGGTGGACATGCAGGGGCCCCAGGAGGGAGCGACCAGCACAGCACCCAGCAGAGAAAGCAGAGCGGCAGGCGCAGGCGCTCCACCCTCTTCCAGCAAAAGAACAACACATCAAACACCCCGCTCCTCTTCCAGCTGTCCAGAGCCTTTTTCTGGCTTCCTATCCATCTCTCGCTCCACCTACTGCAAACTGCCGCCTTCCCGACCACTCCTCTGAAGGTCACCAGTGACGAAATGACCACAATGTCAGCCCCCAGGCTTACTGGGCATTCCTCAGTGCTCACCTCAGTTGTGCATGTCTTCCTGCCCCCTGTGGAACTCTCCTCAGCTTTTCCATCGCCCTTTCTGGCTCTCTGGGTGGCTCCTCTTCATCCCTAAAGGTTGGTGCCCCCTAGAACGCCCAGGCACCTCTCCTCACCAGGCACGTGCTCCGCAGGGCAGTGTCATTGGCCTCTCAGCTGGCACCTCAGGCTGCGGCCCTTGTGCCCGCCTCAACTGCACATCCCTCTTTTCCTTCTGCTCCAGCATCTCCATCGAGCTGTCTGGAAACCATCTCAACCCAACACGTCCAAATCCAAAACCACAGCCTGGCACCAAGTACATGAGATGATCCAAAAGCAGGAACACCTTCAAAAAATCCAGCACTGTATGATTCCTTCCCATAGAGTCAGGTCAAGAACCTTGCGCTTGCAAGGTTCTTCTGTCCAGCCTTGAGGAAATAAAGGTGGCATCGGGGCTGCCACTGGTCATTTCAACCACGGGCAATGGAAATGCTACATTTAACAACTGTCCTATGGCACAAGAGGCTCAGGCCGGGCATCTGAAAGACTGGAGAAATAGCTGCGATAGCTCCTCTCCAAACTGATTTTACTGCATATTCATCTACAGCTCCATTAAAACCAATTTTTGAAAATGTTCCATTATTTTGAATTCCCTTGTACTGCTGTTCATCCCTACAATAAACGGCAGCACCCCCATGTGGGTGGTTGGTCTGCTGTCTCTGGGATTAAATTTCTCTGGAAGGTAAGCCTTATGAAAGTAGGGACTAGGTTTTGTCACTGTGGTATCCCCAGCCCCTAGAACACTCTGCCACACAGCAGGCACTGAATAGATACCCAGCAACTGAGTAGACGGCAGCAGCTATTTGATGAATAAAGGAAGTATATACACAAAGGGGCATGGTATCTGGCAGCTGCTGGCAATCAACTCAGGCCTCCCACCCACCCAACCCTGACTCACCACTCTCCTTTCCCAGGGTCTTGGGGTATGGAAGGCATCCCTCCAAATGCCTCTTCTACCAGGTTGGTGTCTGAGGCTCTCAAAGACCTCAAAGCACATGAGGCTGGGCCTGCCCCTCACTGAGCCCACTCACTCAGAGGCCCCAGGCTCTGGCTTCTGCTCCTACGCCCACCCCAGGGCTTAGCAGAGCCCACCATCTCACCACTTGTCTGCTTCCCCCAGCCCCACACACTAGCCTGCGCCCACAGCTGCATGACGAACTTCTCCACTCTGTCCTTGTAATATGGCAAAAAGGATAACTATTCTCTATGCCTGGAAGAGGAGGAAATGGCTTGATTCTTCTCCAACAGAGAGAAGCTCATGAGCATTCTGACAGTTATTTTATTAGGGCTTTCTCAGCTGCTTCAGAATGTTCTCATTGCTGAAAATCTTACCACTAGATGAATGATACATTACTACTGAAATTCCCTGAAAGAAATAACACAAGTAGACAGGTGTTAGCTTTCTAGGCAAAAGATACCTTTCATCATAATGACAGAGATTTAAACGTGGCTGCTAAGACATGAAGATGCCCAGTCCCTTCATAAGTTTAAAAAAAAAAAAAAAAAGTAAAGGTCCAGTCTTACAGACACATGGCAAAAGCCTAAAAAGCAGGTTACAGATTTTGTTGTTTTTTTCTTCCTGTGGGCTCTTAAAAATAAACTGCCCACTGATTTGCTTGAGATGGGTTAGGCACAGTCAGCTTTAACTTGAAAAACTGGAAATCCATGATAACCCTGATAGTGATACATTACCATAAACAATAAAGCAAGATGAAATATTATGAAATAGGAAACAAGAGACAGCAAAGACTTCATTTAATTCTAAGCTAAAAACAGAATTACAGGGGTATGCCACTTGGAAACAGTCTCAGCCTCAAATTAGAGAGAAAGCAGATGAGGAGCACACACGCTGAAAACCCAGACAACAGGCATGAGCAGAGCAGCGCCGAGCTTTCCCACCGCAAACAGGCATGAGCAGAGCAGTGCCGAGCTTTCCCACCGCGCAGGAACCCCAGCAGGACCGCTTACGTGAAATTTAACTTACACCCCTTGTCTAAGACAAGGTTATGAGCTAAACTGAATTTTTTTTTAAAAAGCTGTGAGATGTAGTTTTATTGGCAATTAGAAGAGAGGAATAGTTGGGGACATAAAGAGAAACTTCCCAGTACTGTACTTTACCCATAAGGCACAGTAATAATAAGGAAGAGAAGGAAGGGCGCAGAGGGTCTCGGGAGCCCTCCCACACCTGAGGAGGCCTGGGCAGCCTGGGGAGGGAGGGAAAGAAGGTGTCCGCTGAGTGCTTTCCACAACCTCCTAACACCACTGAATCTGGCTCCAAAATGACCGTGTGGCTACAAAGACAGAAATAATCAAGACTCTATGTCATGAAATAACCTCACTGAAGAACTGGAGGAGTTTTCTGCCTTACATCTGTTCTTTTAACTATGCATTACCGTCTTGATGATTTTTAGATATGCTAATTTTGGTGTTTGGTTGACAACTTTTAGCACCATAGTACTTCAATCTGGGTACATAATGAATATTATATTTTGTTGGTTTCTTACTCTAAAATTATCTCTCATCCGGCTGCCTGGATTTCCCCTTCTCTCCTACCTTCCGGCCTCCCTTCCCTTATTCTCTCTTCCCACTTCCTCGGACTCATGGATTTCTGGACTCGTAAACCCCAGCGAATCTGAGACACCGTCCAGTCTGTGCACCAACTCTCTTTCATCCAACACAAATGACCTAACAGCCACCGTGTGCTGCCTTACTCCTTCCCAGGCCCTGCAGCAGCCTCCGCCTCCTGAACCAGCCAAGCCAAGCAGGCTTTCCTCTAAATGGCTGCTGACTAGTTCACGGCCACCCTGGGTAACTATGCAATGACCCAGACGGTGGTAGGGAGCAACGACCCAGATAATGGTAGGGAGTTTCCCTGAAGAACAAATGTAAATTAATGTCTGGTGATGTGATCAGAAAATCCCAATGCCACCCTCCAGCCCTTGTAGCCCAAATTCTTGCCTCTTCTATGTCTGATAATGACTACAGAGCCAAAATACACTAAAAGCTCCTGAATTATAAGAATGTGGGCCAGGTGCAGAAGGGCTTCACGCCTGTAATCCCAGACTTTGGGAGACCAAGGTGAGTGGATCACTTGAGCTCAGGAATTCAAGACCAGCCTGGGCAACATGGCAAAACCCCCGTCTCTACAAAAAAATAACAAAAATTAGCCAGGTGTGGTGGTGCGTGCCTTAACTCCAGCTACTTGGGAGGCTGAGGTGGGAGTCACTTGAGCCCAGGAGAGAGAGGTTGCCATCAGTGAACCAAGATCGCACCACTGCACTCCAGCCTGGGTGATGATGTGAAATTGTCTCAAAAAAAAAAAAAAAAAAAAAAAAAAGAATGTGCCAGGCTCCATGGTTCATGTGAATGACTACGCCCAGACTCCCAGGCCTCCCAGGCCAAGGCAGGAGGATTGCTTGAGCCGCCCAGAATGTAAAGAGACCAGCCTGGGCAACACAGCAAGACCCCCATCTCTACAAAGAATTTAAAAATTAGCTGGGCATTGTAGCATGCGCCTGTGGTCCCAGCTACTCAGGAGGCTGCGGTGGGAGGATTGCTTGGGCCCAGGAATTCAAGGTTGCAGTGAGCTATGATCATGCCACAGCACTCTAGGCTGAGCGACAGAGCAAGACTCTGTCTCCAAAAAAAGAAAAGAAAAAAAAAAGAATGCAATTTTACATGTCTTAGCAATAACAAAAAAGAAGTCTTTTTTTTTAAATGTTACCACTTGCTCTTCAGTGGCCCTACTGACAGACAGAAAGGTGGGCTTCCAGGCCACTCCAGAGCCTGATGGCATCTGAGTTCCTGGGGGCAGGGGTTACTTCCCTAGGTGATTCTGAAGCACAACTGGGTTTGAAAACCACTAGTTTAGTGGAAAGAATGTAGGCTTTAGCACCAGAAAAACCAGGGTATTGAACAAATTTCTAAATTCTACCAGTTTCCTTGTCTATAAAATAGAGATAATGATGATGCTTTTGCAAGACTGTTGAAAGGATTGCAGATAATACGTGCAATGTGCCTTGGCACACATACTAGGAGTGCATTAATGGTAGTCATTATTACTATTACTATTGCTTTTTATTATAGCACTGTTATTTATGGCTCTTCTAAGTCTTTCTCTAAACCTCCATTTCTTTATTTGAGAGGCAAGAATGAGAAGCAGCATATCCATAAGAGTTTTGCCAGTCACTCCTGACTAGAACGACAGGCTGATTTCATGTTTCCCCAAGTATCAGTCCTATGCAGCCCACCCTTTTTGAAAAACCATGCAAGGCCGGGCCCAGTGGTTCAACACCTATAATCCTAGCTCTTCGGGAAGCTGAGGCAGGAGAACTGCTTGAGGCCAGGAGTCCAAGACCAGCCCGGGCAACACAGTGAGACCCCATCTCTGCAAAAATTTTGAAAAGTAGGCAGGCATGGTGGCATGTGCCTGTAGGCCCAGATACTCACGAGGCTGAGCTGGGAGGATTGCTTAAGCCCAGAAAGTCGAGCCATGACCTCACCGCTGCCCACTAGCCTGGGCAACAGAGTAAGACCCTGTCTCAAAGAAAAGGAAAAAAAATCCCACAATGCTCAGCTGCTGACTCACGGACACCCTGACATTTCTGCTGCCTCCTCTGCACCCAGCTGGCTGCTCTCCTTCACTGTGTGCACCAGGAGGACCACTCTCCACTTGGCCATCCTGACCTTAATGACACACCTGCCTTGCTTCTTCTCCAATCACAGAATTCCCTTTTGCCTTCTCAGGTGCCAGCCATGCCTCATGCCCCCACCCCGGTATTAATCTGATATTAGGGCTGTGCTGGCTGCTGCATCTTCCCAGGTAGGCATAAAGATGCTGTCATCACTGGATTAGCGCTCCTTATGCCTGCCATGCGAACTGCAGTCCACGAAAGCCCCCACATTCTACAAGACTGTGATAAGATACTTCCCCCAATTTTTTTTTCATTGTCCTCATTTAAAAAGAAACAAGTCATCCTCGGATAAAAGGATAATTCTGCTTCCCCCATAGTCTATCGTATCCATTAAGCACATTCCCTACACAGACATCCTAAGGACTAAACCTATTTTACACCCACGGAAAGAGCCAGGTATCTATGACAGCTCCCACAGCGCCTGTAACGGATGCTCTGACCCACGATATTTCATAAACCCTAATGTACACAGGAAAAGCTCAGCTTTGAAAGCTATACAAAAGCACTCATAAATTTCAGACTGCCCTAAGCACCCCTCCTTTTGCTAAGACACTAGCTGGAGTACCACTTCAGACCCATTATTCTTATAACGACAACCTTCCTTATGCATCTCGTCCTATCAGCCTACTCAAGCACCATGACTATTATTTATACTGAATTTTACACTAACTGCAAGTATGTTTATTAACAAGGCAAAGATAAATGTTCTTTAAAACTAGCTTTGTCTAATAAAAATCCAAAAATGTGCTATTAATTACTTTTATTCATCATTACACTATGATGAGTCTCACTATGTTGCCCAGGCTGGTCTTGGACTCCTGGCCTCAAGCACTTCTCCTACCTCAGCTTCCCAAAGAGCTAGGATTACAGGTGTTGAACCACTGGGTCCGGCCTTGCATGGTTTTTTAAAAAGGGGGGGCTGCATAGGACTGATACTTGGGGAAACATGAAATCAGCTTGTCATTCTAGTCAGGAGTGATTGGCAAAACTCTTATGGATATGCTGCTTCTCATTCTTGCCTCTCAAATAAAGAAATGTAGGTTTAGAGAAAGACTTAGAAGAGCCATAAATAACAGTGCTATAATAAAAATACTCAGCTATTACAAAGCTAATAACTCTCATATGAGTAAAGTTCTAAGTATCAATTCATTTCAAAATTCCAGATACAGGTCATACATTCATCTCTCCTTTTTTTTAAAGATTTCTGCTTTTGAAAGACTCATCTAAATTGTCCACTATGTCAAAAGTATTTAATTCCTAGCATTAGGAAATAAACAAAAATTCAAAGATTTCAAAAATATAGTTTGGAAAGGAAGAGAAAGAGGAGAGTCAAAACGAATTAGCAATGCCCATAATAACAATGTCCTTTTTTAAAAGGACACGGTTCCAGAATTCCTACATTTATCTCTCTATCTCCATCTGTCAGTTGCTCTTCGGATCCTGCACATCAGCACATTGTGAACAGACGGTGGGTATTTTCACCCTGGACCAGGTAGAAAGCTTGCCTGCCTGTACACGCTGACTGCCTCCCTGTGTTATCTGTCCGTGTTCCGTTTGAATCCAATTTCCTTGCATTACCTCTGCCCAGGTCAGGGATGAATGGCCGTCAAATTCCCAGTGGAATAAAAAGAAAAACCCTTTTCTTCCTGAGGCAGCAAGTTTCAATTCACAGAGCACATGGCTAATCTACATATGTGAAGGTCACGGCACTTCAGTCAAAGAGGTTAAGAATGGAACAGCTCACGTAAGGGGTTGTCTTAAACATCTTGGCATGATGCCCAACAAGTGAGACTGTTGAAAAGCAATAGATAGCTCTGGCAGCAGCAAGGGGAAAAATATTTTGATCATGTGATGCCATACACATTACCTCGTTTATTTCATGTGTGAAAGTTTGAGAGTCCCTGAAAAATACCACATATGCAAATCAAATCCAGATTTCAGCTTTACCAGTTTAGCCATGCTAGTACACCTTCCTCTTCATAAAATACATTTATATGGAATTTGTGGATGCACCAAGAATAAAACTTCAACATATTGACAGCCAGCTGGCTCAAATATCTTAACAGCTGATTACAACTTCTTTGCATTAGTTTTTCCATGAAGCATGAAACTACTTAGACTGGGAAAGGGTATTTAGACTAAAAAAGCATATTCTTTTAAGTTATCCAAATATAACTGTCTTAAATAAAATTCATCTTCTCCATCTTTCTCTATTCTTCTCTTTCTCACTAATAATATAGCAATATGGAAAATTACAGAAACTTAATGCATAATAAAAGATAAAACACAAAACTGCTTACCTTTCAATTTCCCTCTTCAGTAATTAATTGTAGAATAAAACACTGGTGCTTCTAAGTGCTTGTGTCTCCGACCAATATCAGAGTGGAGGAGGAAGGACAGAGTCTTGCCATATACAATAGACATGGGTGAAAGAGGAAAAGTCAGGATTGCAGAGGGCATGTCTCTGCCTCCTGTATGCATGGCGCCTTCCTGAAATGCGTTCTGCATCAGCCAATTCAGGTTAAAGGCAGTTGGCACTAAGATGGGGGGAAAGGGATGATTTCCACACCCAGCAAAGTCATAAAAAGTATGACTGTAATTTTTAAAATTTTCCAACAGTCAACAATAATAAATACTTGTTTAATACATGAAGAAAATAAAGTAGAAGCAAAAGATCCATTTTACCAATTTGGAAATTGTCTGCCAGACACCCATTTCCTTCAACTCAAAATTCAGATTGCTTATGAGGCCAGAGTTATTGTCTGTATTTCTAATTAAATGGAATACTAAGTAAAATTTAAACACCCCACAAACTATCTTAATTAATTTAATCACCACTGTTTACTCAGTAATCTAAGGACATCACTCTATGCTCAACAATTAATACAATGTTTAACAATTTACAAATATTTTCTGGATATCTACTTCTGTGGTACAGTGCCCCTACACCAACGTCACTAAATGTTTACTGATGGTAGGAAAATTAAATTCTTCAATTATAAATCTTCTGAATTTATTTCCTCACCAGTTAAAAATATGACTGCTTAAAAAACAGGCAAACTACAGTAAACATTTTAGAATTGCTCAATAACTTACTTTTCCTAACACTGGACAAGGTAAAAACATATCAGGAAATTTGAAAACTGCCATGGTATGGATTAGAACTAAGCTTCAAATATAAACCTATTTGCTCTGAAAGACCGATAGGCTGCTAAGTAACTTGTTAAATTAACTAATAGAGAATTGCCTCTAACTCATTTTAATTCCTTATTCATGAGAAAATACAATCCTTTGTTACTCTATTAAAAGGTCCTTTTCATTGCCAAGCAGCATACACGTTTCTTATAAAGTTTAGTCCTCATGAAAATTCCATGAGTTAAGTATCCTTTCCCATTCTTTGACAAATGAGGAAACCACACAGCACAGAGAAGCGAAGTGACTTGCCTGAGGTCACACAGCTAGTAAATGCATAATCTTCCAGTGCTCTCTAACCTGCCAGCTTTTGGCTCTAGCCCTTGCCCCAAGCCCCATGCCTCTTTACCTTCACTGTTTGTTTCTCATTAACCAAGTCTTAGCTCATCAGACCTCCTTTGCTGTAGGAGCCTTCCTGCCTCAACTCCACCCCAACCTAATCTATATAAAGTGACCCTCTAACATCAAAACTTCTTTCACAAAATCCTTTACACCTTACTGTGTAGCATGTTTACTTGTCCTTAATTCCTGCATTGTCCATTTGTGGAGGTCACCAAAGAATCCCATCACCCAGCATGATGCCTGGCACACAGTGAGCTCTTCACAAACATGTGCCTTCTGCCCACATTATTGCTGTGATGACACGAATCTATAGTTCCAAAGCCCTGACGCACACAGTTCAATACAGTGAAGTAAATGAACTGAGTATTAAATCCTTCATGTTACTGATGTGAAGGCTTTTCTTTAGCAGAAAAATCACCATATGAATGACACCCAATACAAAATCCAAATTAGGATCACTTTCTCATCAACGTCACAGCACCAAAGAACAATCTCCAAGTACACTGACCTTCCACATAGAATAGCAAATACTGACCAAACGGATTTCCTTGCAACTGATATTGGAAATGAATAATACATTCGTTAGGAAAGTTTCAGCTTGGATACATCATTTACTCCATAAATACTTCTTAGATGGTGCACTTTGAGGAATATAGTCTTTTTGCATAAGAACTACAGAAGAAAACTGTAGCCATTCACTTTAATTTCCACTTTGTAAAACACCAGGAGTCTATGATAATACACCTGGGAAAATTAAGGATCATATGTCATCTTTACTCTGTGTATCTTAAGCACCAAGTGGTGCTCAGTAAGTATTTGTTCATAATAGAATTACATTTTGTCCCTGATAGTTTTATAAATCTCAGCATTTAAAAAAAATTGCTCTTTATATATTTGAGGGAGGACCCCGGTACTCTTAGATTTGACATTCCTGTTTTGACTATTTAAGAGCAGCCCTAACCCTCCATGCATAGTAAATTATAATTTTGCTAAGGATCAAGTCTAAATCATATATTCAGTGAAGATGAAGCAAACACAGAAGCAAGTTACTTAGCTAATGAGAGACCAAAGTCTAGCACCCAAAATCTCCAAGAAGCCTACTTTTAAATTTTTGCAACTTCGTTCCTTTGCAAAAAGTAATTCTCCTAAAAAGCCAGTCATTTTTTGCAGATCATCAAAGTGGGAAGGTTTAGGAAGTATAACAGAGGAATGATTGTTGGCCAGAGAAGAGACCACTAATTAATATTAGGGATGGGATATTGAATGGGGTAGCAGCTTGGGGCCAATGGCATCAGCCGTAGGCTCTGTGGGTAAACCAAAACCAATTTATACAACTGCTGAGCAAGAGTCCCAATCAGTACAAAACCACATTCTGTAAGGGAAACTACAGTGGAATGCAAAAATCTATGTATTTGCACAGGTCTCAGTTTATATTCACAGAATATGTCTGGGATCTAGTGTGGTTTAATAAGCTGTTCAGCGGTGCATAGCTGATTAGGCACTATTTGTTTAAAAATTCAAAGCAGCACAGATTTTTGGAGCTGGGAGGGGCTGAGCATCACCTAATTGATGCCAGCAAGGGCTTGTCCTGAGTCAGCCACACCCCGAAGTACAGCAGGACCAGGCAGAGAATGAGAAAACAAGCCCCACATGGGAAGGCAGGTAGGCAGAGAAGAGAGGGGCCACATACAGATGCCACAGATAGACATCCATGACCTCAGTGAAGGTTTTCAACAACCCTGCCCAGCAGCCAACATTCCAGGTAAGGAAACTGACCCCCTGCTGGAGTGCAGAGAAAATGGGTGCTGAGGCCTCCAAATGAGCTAAGGTCTGACCAGCTCCAAGCCCATGATCTTACCATTGTGTCAGGATGCCTCATCATAGAAGCTTATTCGCTCACAAATCCTCAGAATCACCAAAATAAACTAATACACAGCAAACATGCCAGTCCCCTCGGAATTATGTCTGCTTCTTCAGAAAGATACTTGCTCAGCAGTAGCAATGTTCCACATTCCTATTTCCAAGGTCATTTATAATTCATTAGTTAGAGTGAATTTATTATAAAATATACCAGTGGTAACAGAAAATTTAAAGGGCATTAAAATGGGTGTGTAGCTTGATATATGGTCACTGAATCTTAAAAGGTGGTTCTCAAGATTTCACAAATTAGACGCCAGCTTCTAAATGAATTTTAGAATTAACAATCATTTCAATATAAGGCTATGAAATATGGTGAGTGGTTTAACTTCTAAGATGCTCATCACAAAAAGAAACAGTAGATACTAAGAATTCTGGAACTGCCTCCACTAATCATCAATGCCTCGCTTTCTGAAAGGTTTATTTCAGGACCCAGAAGCAGTAGCTGAATTTACTCCTCAGCCAGCATACATTATCTAAACAGTTACCAAAAATACCCCAGCAATCCAAGTATCTTCCTAAATCTGAACAGACTGTTTTAACTTTTTTTCCAAGAATCTATGTAATGTAGAAAACTGAGAAAAAGAAAAAGGACCATTCTATATAAATTTGAAAGTGATTATATTTTCCTTCTTTTAGTTATTATTCTCGGTAGTGAATCTATATTTCGCTCTGGCACAAAGCCAGTAACTGATTGGTAGAAATGGAAAAGAGTCACTAGATCACATCAACTATATCACAACAACCTACAATTGTTGTTGACCAGATTTTGTTTTGCCAAAATATACTGCCCCACCGGAAAAAAAAAAAAAAAAAGCAGGCCAAATAGACTGCTGACCCACATGGTTGCTATCTGCAATTTGTTTAAATGAGCCAGTTCTAAGTCAATGATGTCAGCAATACCACGATCCAGGTATGGAGGGAGCAAGCGTTAGCAGTATCTCTGCATGATCCGCACACCAACAGCAGCAATCCCCAGACCCCAGCTATTGTCTGTCTCTGGCACAGGGCTGATTAAGAAAGTGGGAGCTCAATAAATATTTGCCAATTGACTGTCTGGAGTAGATATTTATCTAACATATACCTCACTGCATACACAAATGCTAAATGTTTACACCTTAAAGAAATAACTATTGCTTCCCAGTACAAGCTCTTAAGTAACAGTTCATTTCCTCTCTGTGGAAGCTGGTGTTAAAGTACATAACTGATCTTACAAAGATGTGACTACCTATCAGCATCAGCAGCAATTCCAGTACAATTCCAATACCTTACACAAACCAAAGACGCCTGTTCATGAGACTAGGCAGGATCTAGAAGTCTCCCTTCACAGCTGCCTTTAAAATGTAATTCTAAAAGGTCAATCATCTTAATTTAGTAATTTTTCCACATACAAAGAATTTCTGAAGTTTTGCAGAGGACTAAAAAGTAAAAACATGAGGGGGAGGCACAAATTTGGTGGCAGAGAACACTATGGAAAAGGACATGGCACCACCTAGACTCTGGGTTTGCTCTGGGTTGGTAGGGGTGAGATGCCCAGAAACTTCAAACACAGAAAGAATAGAAAAAAATATCACTATAAATGATTTTCACTAATAGTGGGAAAATAAAATTAATAATTTTTAAGAGACTACAAATGCAAAAGGTGAGGGAAGAAAAGCAAGGGAAAAGTGAGAATGGTAACAGTTCATTTCCACACCCTATTATCTAACCAAGTCCCAGGTTTCTCTCAACAAATACCCTCAACCTTTAAACTTTAGAAAGGTTCCAAAAAGCTGCTTTTCAAAATTTTAATAACATAACTGGCAGTGAAACTACTAACCTTTGTAATACACATCTCCAAAGAGATCCTCAAACTCTATGAGGATTACCCCAAAGTTAGAATTGAGAGGAAGTAATGTACTAATAAAAAACAAAAACAAACAAACAAAAAAACCATTAGCATCCTGATGGAATGTCTGCGGAAGAATTTACTCACAAACTATGAAGTGATAAGATTAATGGTTACAAAAACAAGATTATTTTACTTACAATACACATTAGCAGCTAACAATTTTAAAAGAAAGAGAAAAATATTTTTATTTCAGTTTGAGAAGGAAAAGTTCTGGGGATAGATGATGATGGTGACAGCCACACAACAATGACAATGTACTTAATGCCACTGGAATGTATGCCTAAAAATGGTTCAAATGGTAAGTTGTATGTTATGTACGTATAGCTTACCTCTATTTAAAAAAAAAACCATATATTTAATTTTTTAGCATCCCATTACAAAAAAAGAAAAAATGTAGCATTATGGTCCAGGATTTCTTCTGGATTTCATCAAATATGGCTTCCCTTCCAGAGTCACCTGATAAGGAATGGCTTCTGGTCTAGTTCTCCAGCTCATCATTCATCAAGGCCCAGGAAGACACTGAGAAGTGCACCTTACAGAAGATGGTCAACAGAGGGTGAATCTCCTCCAGATTCTGCTGCCATCTACCTGATTTTAATAATGGAAATAAGAGTAGCTATTCATAAACCAGATAGGCTTAAGATTTTAGGGCTTTAGTCTGGTGCCTGGTAATAAATCTCATCCAAGAAACAAGTTAATTTCATCATTAGTTCATCTGTCAAACTCAGTAGCCTTCTAATATTCTTGGCATTGATCCATACAGATGTGGGTTTGAAAACTGCCTACTGGATCCTATTTAAGTAAGTAAATCTTGCCTGGCAGGATGGTTCACATCTGTAATCCCAGCACTTTGGGAGGCCGAGGAGGGTGGATCACTTGAGGTCAGGAGTTCGAGACCAGCCTGGGCAACATGGCGAAACCCCATCTCTACGAAAAATACAAAAATTAGCCAGGTGTGATGGCGTGCACCTGTAGTCCCAGCTGCTTGCGGGGCTGAGGCAGGAGAATCACTTGAATCTGGGAGGTCAAGGCCACAGTGAGCCAAGATCGCGCCACTGCACTCCAACCTGGGTGGCAAAGTGAGACCCTGTCTCAAAAAGAAAAACAAATAACTAAATGTAAGGAAAGAATTTTCTTAGAATTACTCCAAGTCAAAGATTTTGAAAATAGAACATATTTAGTGAAAACTTACAGTGGAAACACATATTCTACTCTGAAAAAATTCACTCACTCAAAGTGAATTGCTAATTAAAACTATATAGTATATGTCTATCATTCCATTCATTCAGATGTCAGTATAAGGAAAAACAAATGAATACTTAGGACACTCAGGTAATGACTGATACCTAAGTCATTTTATCTTTACCAAATTTCCTGAAGAAAAAGTTGCTAAAGTACACCAAGTTTTTAGATCAGAATTAATTCACTCAATTACCCAATTAAACCAAAAGGGCCATTGAGTCTCATTCAAATAGCCTCCAAGCTAGAGAAAAGATATTTATAATAGTTCTACATCTATGATACAGAAATATATTCTTGGTAGAGGAACAGTTTTGCCTGGTGCCTCTCCCGGACACGACAGGGAACAGGGTTTGGGATTCCTCAGCCTCAAGCAAGCACACACAGCAAGCGTGCGGCACTACTTTACATATCCACAGAGAACCTGCAAAAACCTCCCTCCCATTCAGGAAAGGGCACCTCCGAAAAGGCATGCAACCAAAACCACCCAATCCCAAAAAGGCCTAAGAGGTGGATACGGCCCCTTGAGTAATAACAGCAGTGTAAAATGTCATAAAAATTTTATAACATCCAACTGGAAAACCTAAATATTGCAAAAAAAAAATGGAATTAAGTTTTATTAATATTTTCAGCCTCCATAAATCTGTCATTTTATGCAACACACCACACTTCTATCAAACATAAATATCAATCTCAAATTTACAAATCTACACATACACTCCAAAACAAAAGTGACACGAGTGAAATATCAGTCCCTTTTCCACCCACATGGATCAAAGCACACAACCCCATGAGCTGAGCAGTGTCAGTCCAGTGTAGAGCTGCAAGAAAAGCCTCCAGATTGAGGACACCGGCAAAAAAGCGAATACAGAGTCCTAGGCCAGCACATCCAAAATTTACATCCCCAGTGAGTCTCCAAACGGAGTAGAAAATTTCATGGAACCCTAACAAATGTTCATCAAATCACTCATCTCCTAGGAAAGGGTAGGGTTAAATAAATGAAATGATCATCTTTTCGGTTTGCCTGTGATATTGGAATTTATCCTAGGAAAGCAAGTGTTCCTATTACATCAGAAGTCATCTTTTTAGATAGATACACCCTGCCCAGAATCATAAAGAAATAAAGTCTATTAATAAAAAATAGAACTGAAAACTCAACCGCATTCTATTACACCTATTCTCTTTAAAAGGTATCTGTGTCTAATAAAACGATCAAATGAGCTTATATTAAGTCTTCCTCTACATTGTCTTACATTTTTAAAATCAGTTCTCAAATCAGAATTAATGTTTTTTTTTTTTAAATATCAGAATAAAGACGTTATTTTCTTCAATTTCAGTAAAGGAAAATGACATTCAGAGGTTAAGTATATTAGTAAAAGTGTCCAAGTGTGATCTGCATTATTTCCACATCCATAACACACTTCTGATACACTATGACATTGAGAAAAATGGAACAAGTATAAAAAGCCTTGCCAAAAATTCATGACTAAATATAGACAAGCAGAGCCAAAGCAAAGAGGGGTTAAGGTTCCTCATTATAGATTCAAGGTAAGGATGTGCTAGTCCCTAGCATATACTTACTGATGTAGTATTAATATAAACATAAACCTAAGTGATAGCTGTCTTAAAGAGTGGCTACCACTAAAAAAAAAAAACTACCAAAATATTGTCAAAAGTATGTACCACAAAAATCAGGACTCCCAATGAAAACGATTTTAAGCCATGCATAATTTCATCCCAGATGATTCAGAAAACAAAACTGCAGACATTTGTTATATTTTCTTTTCCTGTTTTTTAAATGATAGGCCCTTTCCATTAGCCACAGTTACTAAGTCCACCTTTTCTAACTATACACAGCCATCCATACTTTGGCAAATATATAAATTTAGGCCACAAAAATTTGTTTACAAGATTTAAAATATCAGACACCCTAAAATTTAACTGGGAGTGATTTTATCAAATAATGTATCTCACACACATTTTAAGGTAATCAGGAACCAGTTTGTAGCTTCCTGCTTCGCATGCTAGCTAATCACTTTTCTTCTAATGGTAAATAAGGCCCTTTTCTTAATACATTGTACTACGTTTTATAAAACTAAAAGTTAAAACTGCATTTATGGAATTCAGTAGAAATGTGGACATCATAAAACCTATGTGCGTGAGTAGACCTCAATATTCCTTTTGAGACTGCTCCATCTGAATACTCATCTTACAAAAATCTAGTAATAAACTGAATCGTCAAATGGCTTATTTCACTTTTTAAAAAGACCCTTCTCCTATAATATATACACGTTTTGTCCCAATTACGAAAACATTTGCCACCCAATAGAAACTATTTCCTGAAATCAAAAATGAAACTAAAAACATATTAAAAGCCAAAATATTTCATCATTTAACAATGTGATTTAATAGCATTTCATGACCTACAGTCAGGCAGTAATTTAATATTTTGGACAAATGACTGTTTCTTAGTATAATTACAACAACTAATACTAAATAATACTAACTTCCAAAAAGAAAAGAAAAAAAAGGATTGTAAAAAAGACACATTCCACATGTTACACGGTAAGGTACTTAAAAGAAATTCCTGAATCTAGGTCGCATGTCCATATTTCCCCCAACCTCAACAAAAAAAAAAAAAAAAAAAAAAAAAAAAAGCCTATTCCCAAGGGTCATAGGGACATAATGGATTCATTCTCATTACAAGAAAACAAAATACTGAAAATGATTGGTACCATTAAGAAAAAAATACTCTAAAGTAACATGGTCCTACATCTGCCTCTAACTTCATTCGTCTCTAGTTTACGAAGATGTGAATTTTAAACTGCTCCTTTAAAAGCAGGCTGACAAAGCAAACCTTTTTAAAATTAATTACGTGGGTTTATTTCCATGATTCTTCTCTATAATGTTTTTCCTCGTGTGAATCAAAAACAAGTTGAAATCACAAGTTTTCTATTAAGAATAGAAAAATCTATTATCCTTAAAAGCAAAACTCCAATAACTAAAGATCTGAAAGCAGTGGACAGCAGTGTTCAGCCTAGGATTCACAAGATTATTTGTTAAATTCAGCCCTTCCTTCACTCTGACAAGTCTCTAAGGTATGATTATTGTTAAAATACCTCTTCCTAAAATAAATGAGTTACATAAAAATATACATACAACGACTGTTGTTCCTCTCTAACAGATTAGGATTTTTTAAACTTTCATAGCATTAACATGAAAGAAAAATTATTTGGAAAAAAAGACACCCAGCACAACTTGCTTAGAATATAGTTTCCCTAATTCATCGTGTAAGCAGTTCAAACAAGGCTCAAATTACCTAATCTAACAAAACAATGAAGAAAAAAAAAAGATTATGGGGCATTTCTGTATTCTCCACATCAAAAGCAAATATGAAATGATTCTTAGTATTTCACAGGAATATCTCATTTTTCCCCTTTTAATTATTGTTATCTGCACAAATATGTGGTTTCCTCATTTCGTTTTTTAAATATGTCAATTCTAACCAAAACTCCTCATCCACAAATATCTTTGAACAGTCAGAACTGATAAATCACAAAAAAATGAAGCTTAAATCTTGTTTATCAGGTGAATTACACATCACCAAAATATATTGCTGCCTATCAAAATCTTAAAAAAATTTTAAGGTTTTATTAAGCTGCGTGTGCTGACAGAATTCAAATTTTTCCATAGTTGAATTTGTAAAGGGAAGACTTTTATAAAGGCTTTACAAATCCAAAAATTGGTAAAATTCGTGGTTTACTTATTTTTCAATGGCCTTATCCTCAGCCTCCAATTAAAGTCTATGATATATGTAATGTGCATATTCTAAGACTATCATCAAAGATCTGAATTTTGTAAATGCCCAATACTGGACACCAGCGAACTGTTTTTCTGTATTTGATCCTCTTATTAATAACTATGATTCATAATAGTTTCAGCTTTAAATACTGAACCTTACATTTGCTTGTAATAGAGCTCAGTTATTATTTGTGGCAAGAATTTTTGTGACTGTACTGCTCAGCACTTCTATTTACATCAGCAGTGCTAAATGCCCAATGGTGAGAGGGGAGCCAATCAGATGGCAGATTAGATGTCAACTCAGAGGCAGCTGTCTGGAGACTATTACAGCCAGTTTACCTCCACAATTCAAATTCCAAACCTTGCAAAGGAGATCAAGTCAGTCTTTAGGCTCAGCCTACTAGCAAGAAACAGCAAGAGTGCAGGACACTTCCTAACAGCGCTGTAGGACTCGGGTGACAGCAAAATAAAGAAAATCCAAATAAATACGATCCCAAAAGATCAATTTTCACTGGTCTGCTATCTTACTGGATTTGCTGAATAAAATGCATGCCTAATCCATGATCAAAATAAGTTCAATTGATCCGGAACGTGCTCCTTTCACATAGCCTGCCTGTTGAAGGTGACTCCCTGCAAGCAGCCCGTAAGCCCAATAATGGATTTCCCTGGCTATTCTAAGGAACGAATCGATGTATTTTACAATATTGCACCTCCATGTCGTTGTAAATTTTGTTATTATTCCTACCAGCAAACGTTCGAGCTCGAAGCCCGCACCGAGTGTCTCTGAATGGCTCTCCCTAAGTAGGAAAAACCCACTCGCTTGTCACAAAGCTAACCTATTTTCCCTGCCTGGACCTCGGAAGCCAAGAGGGAACGTGCTGTGGCTAAAGGTGTGAGAAAGTTCCTCATTCTTTCCCCCGTTAAAGCACATTGTGGGCGCTCCCAGAACCGATCGGGTGGCTCTTCGCCCCAGCCGTCCTGGCCGGGAGAGCCTATTTGTTACAAAAGCACCCGAACGGTCCCCGCCGCCCCAAACGGCGACCGCGCGGGTGGCGCCTCGGGATCTCGCTTCGCGTTCCCGGGCCTGGGGGAGGGGGGGGACGCGGGTGCGGGCCGGCGGGGTAGAAGCCACCCGGCCCGGCCCGGCCCGGCGAAGCCCTCCCAGGCCTGGACAGCGCGCCGGCCCCCGGGGCGCCCCGACCGCGGCGGGAGGCGGCCGCCCGTCAAGATGGCTTTGGGCGCCGCGCCCCCGCCGCCCCCGCGGGAAGACGGGGAAAAGTACGCGGCAAAGAAAGAAACTCAGGCTCGCGGCGCGGCGAGGCCGCCGGGCGGAAGCAGGCCCGGCTGGCGCGAGGGTTACCTGGGATCTGCCCATGGTCGGTCCGGGGGTGCCGGGGCTCATCGCCGGGTGACTCCTTTGTTGCGCGGCCGCCCAGGCCGGGCTGGCAGCGGCGTACTGGGCGCCCATGTCCTTGCCCAAGCCCATGCCCGCGGCCGCCTGCTGGCCGCCCGCCGCCGCCCCCGCCGCCGCCGCCTGGGACTGGGGCTGCGACGGCGGCGGCGGCGGCGCGCTGGGGCTGCTGTACTCGGGGTAGCTGCCGCCGTAGCTCCGCATCATGGGGCTGGGCGAGGTGAGCAGCTGATTGAGGGTCGGGGTGGCCCCCGACGGGTGCTGGTTCTGGCCGGCGAAGCGCTGGAAGCCCCCCGCCGCCGAGCCGGCGGCCGCCTTGCTGAGGCTCGCGGCCCCGCCGCCCCCGGGGCCCATCATCATGCCGCCGCCCTGCTGCCGGGGGGAGCTCAGCACCCCGTACCCCGCGGACGAGCCCCCATAGCCGCCGCCGCCGCCGCCTCCTGCTGCTGCCGCCGCCGCCGCGGCCGCCGCCGCCACAGCTCCCGCTCCTGCTCCTCCTGCTCCTGCTCCTCCTCCTCCTCCTCCTCCTCCGCTGCCTCCTCCTCCTCCGCCGCCGCCGCCGCCGCCGCCGCCCGCGCCGGGCCGGCTGTAGCCCGGATAATGGTTGCACTGGCTGTTGGGGTACCCTTCGTGGGAGTTCTGCAGGGGGTCCATGCTGCCGGGGGCCCCGGCGGCGGCGGCGGAGGCGGAGTGCATCATCCCCATCCCGGGGCTTTGTTGTCCGCCATGTTGATCAAAGCAAGGCCCAGCGCGGCCGCCGGGGCCGCCGCTCGCAGGGGCAGCGCTGCCATAGTAATTATTAAACTCCGGGACGGCCGCCGGGCCGCCGCCGCCCCCGGGCACGGCGACCGGCGGCTGCTGCGTGCCCAGGGCGCCCAAGCCCGGGTGCTCGTAGCGGCCGCCCGCCGGCTCCCCCATCTTGGGCGGCGCGTCGTCCTCGTCGCCCGGCTTGCTCAGCAGCGGCGGGCCCGGGGGGTCGGCCTGGCCGCCCGCAGCACTGTCCTTGGCGCCTCCATGTTGCGGCTGCTCCATGTCGGGGCCGGGCTGAGGCGCGCCGCCGCCCGCGCCGCCCAAGCTGTTGTTGTTGGAAATGGGATGTTGCTGTTGCTGCTGCTGCTGCTGCTGCTGTTGCTGCTGCTGCTGCTGCTGCTGGAACTGGTTTAGCTGCTGCTGTAGTGCGTGGTGGTGGTGGAGGTGGTGGGCATGGTGGTGGTGGTGGTGGGCATGGTGGTGGTGGTGGTGCTGCTGGTGGGGCGGCGCGGCGGGGGCTTCGCCAACGGTTTTCAGTTTGTGGTTGGGGAGCAGCCCCGTCTCCATGGCCGAGCCCGGGCCCGACGAGGAGGAAGAGGATGCCGCCGCTGCCGCCGCGGAGGAGGAGGAGGAGGAGGACAGCGCGGCGGCGCTTCCACCCTCCTTGAGAGCCGCCTCGGAGCCGCCGCTCTTGGCGCTGTGGGTGCCGGCGGCGGCCGCGGCGCCCGCGTTATGGGCCATGTTGAGTTCGTGACGGGGGAGCAGGGGGTGGTGGTGCACACTGTTCAGGCCGCCGCCGCCGTCGCCGCCGCCCCCCAGCATGGGTCCCGGTGCCGCCGCCGCCGCCGCCGCGCCGCGCGCCCCCGCCTCCAGGTCCCGGGCTCCGGGCGCCGGCCGCGGCCCGGGGGGCGCCCGCCGTTCGCCGCTGCCTGCCCGCGCCCGCGCCCGCGCCGCCGCCGCCGCCGCCGCCGCTGCTGCCCGCGCGGCCATGATCGCCGCGGCGTGGCGAGGCCGGGCGGGGGGCGGGGGGAGACAATAACCCCCACTTTTCAGGCCGCGGCCCCTCCTGTGCGCATCCACGCGGCCCGCCGGGAAGCCGCGACCCCCTCCCCCTCCGCAGGCCCCGCCGGAGCGCCGGGCCGGGCACGCCTTACGCTCTGGGCCTGCTCCTGCTGTGTGCTTTCATGGTGAAAGTTTTTAGTTCAGGTTTAAATGAAACTTTTCTCTTTTCCTCTCTAGCCCGGATATGGGTAAATACACGACTAGCTGAGCCTATCGGGCCCAGCATGGCTTGAGAGGCAGCGGGCGAGCTCGAGCAACTATTATCCACTTCGCTCGCATTACTCCCGCGCACTCGCAAAACGCGGACTGGACTCGTCCCCGGGCCGCCGCCGCCCGCCCCGGCGCAGCCTCGCGGGACCCAGCCGGGCTTGGGCTAAGGCTGGGGCCGGGGCCGGGGCCGGGGCGGCTCGGCGGCCGCTCGGAGCGCGGCGGCGTGGGGCGGCCGGAACCTGCACTTTCCCCCCGGGCCGCTGTCTCCTTGCCAACCGGGCGTTCGCATGTTTGTTTTCACGTCTAAAAGGAACGATACAAAGGTGGAAAACGAGTCTGACGAGCAGACAAAAGAGGGAGAAGGGCTGGGAAACAAAGTTGTCTATTGGCCTCAGAGGTTACAAGGAGCCGACGGAGAAAGAAAATATTTAGGCAATCTGCAAAAGCACGGTCTCTCCCAGGAGTTATGTAATTTTCAGAACGTTCGCCTCTGCCTTGATTTCGGGCCATCGGCGTAATTCCCACAACTTCTTCCAACTGCAAAATTAGGAAAGATTTGAAATGAAGGTTAGCCCCGGTCAGAGAGCCCTATGGCCTGTACCCAGTAGGTACTCAATAAATGCTTATGACTGACTGCACCCGCCCCAAAGAGAATGTTTACATAACTCTTTTTGAAGGCACCTTAAACACGTATGTAGGTTTGTCAGTGTATTTCCAAAGGAATATGTCCACGTATTCCCAAAGGAGCATTTTTCTTACATGCACTTGGATGTCCTCTGTGGAGTATGTACAGTGGTGTTTTCTGCGCCAACTTTCACATGAACATTTAACTCTTGGTGCCAGAACAGCGACAGCTATGGGTTAGCTCGTATCTTCATAAATCTATATGACACCTTTCATCATGTTTCAGAGCTTCGTGTGCACAGTTAACCCTCTCGATATACATTCATTTCAAAGAGATGTGGAACGAAACTAAAATATTATAGACATTATATTTAATAAATATAACTTCAATAATAATATAAAACAGTCAACTCTAGTCCTAATGTAGAAATGTTCCATACTTTGTTCTCTTAAAAATTGGTGTCTATTAACATTTTATAATGTTTTTAATATTTGCATTGTTATTAATGTTTTCAATATGTGCATTGTCCCCTAGTAACATTTTAAAAAGCAAGACTTCTTAACCTTAGGCAATGACCCACTTGTACTAGTGTGGACTCAGTTTTCATTGAGAGAAAGCATTTAAAACCTGGCAGAAACAATACTTACGGTTTTGGTAGAGTATAGTTTTCCAAAATTATTTCATTCTTCAGCTTTCCATAAAAACTATTTTAGTTCATTTCCACTGCAGCAGTGGTTATTTGTTTGACCAAGTGTAAATATGTTACATGACTAAATAGAAAAGGATTGATGGGAAAACTGGTGACTAATTGGGGTCGGGGGGAGGGAATCAGGTGCACACCCAAGGGTCATTATAGAGTGTAGAAACAACAAATTGCAATTCTACGCAAACAACTGGAAAACGGGATATATCATCGTGTGTTAGAGAGAATAACAGAACCATAAGATGAATTCGTGCCAAATCATTCATCAGTTTTTGCCAAGAGAATACTACATCTTTGTTAGTGTGCCTTTTTGACATTTTTTCCTGGATTTTCTCCCTTTATATATTCAAATACATACTAATTATACGCATTACACCACAGAAGTTGAATTTTTAGTTTTTCATATGCAAATATAAATATATGTCTGTTTTGTGTGTATATACATATATTCTAAAATCAATTACATATTTATGCTTTTAGACATAGTCAAACTAAGTATGTACACATCATCCTAAAAGTGCATTTTTTCAAATTGATAAAATATATCAAAGTCAGTTCATACAAGTGTAGCCATATGTTGTGGCTTATTTTCACAACTAATCCTAAAAGGGAAAATGAGTCACCAAGTTCAGCTATGGCCCTTTTCCTTAAAATATTTTTTCATATTGGCAAATCGTGAAACTAAAAAAAAATTAGTAGAGAAGTCAAAATCTCTTTTAATTCCATTTGCTTCAGCAAGTCAACTAGAAGATTGGAACTAAGAGACTATAAAATAGAGGCCCCCAGCACAATGAAATCAGTCTGCTATAAAAGGCGACACATGCCAGTTTTTCCTCCCCAATGGCAGATGCCACACCCTAAAGCAGACAGAAGGCACTGCAGCCTGTAGGAGAAGCACAACACAAAGCCGGCAGGACTTGGTTTTGTCTTTTAAACCACGGAGAATGCTAAAATACCTTTCTAAAGCATCTTTGCTGAAGATAAGAAGTGCACTCGAATTTGCTCAACTTTTCATACACACCTCAGGAAAACAAAATAAAAGCCTGTTTAGTTTCATTTAAACATCCAGGGCTTAACAAACAAAACACCAATTGTCAGGGGTCTGTTACAAAGTGATGAAATAGGTTCCCATTACACAAAAGCACAATTTCAACCACAGGTTCAAATTTCCATTGTGTTCCTTGCCTCAACTATCTCATATGGCAATTCTACCTTATTGTTTCTTTTTGATGAAATAAGGTACTAGAAATCACTGCGCTCATTTTTCCTAATGAATTCCTTAATTTTACACCTCTTGCCTAAATTTCAAACCACAATGACAACTTTAATAAGTTACCCTAACCACAAAGAAGCCATGAGGGGAAGGCCCGGAGGCTGCCCGCAGCCACCCTGGGTTCCAGCCGACCTCCCACCCACAGGGTGCTCCCCACGCCCTCATGTTTAGCCAGAGGATTACCCATTATTTTGTTAAACATTCCTTTTTGGTTACAAAAGACTTTTTTTTTTACTGTATGGAAATATTAATATTCAAATACTGCGCCTTTTGAATAAGTTTTAGGGCACTGAATAAAAGGCTCTTCAACTTGGCCACTTAAAGGGGATTGAGCCAGATGGTAGTTTAAGAATTCCACAGTTCTGTTCTTTTTGCCTCATCGTAGCCCATCATACTCTGTTTGCTTTCAGATTAGTCCCCTTTTACTGTTCTACTTATTTATTCGATGACTGAAACTATCACGATTCACTGCCCATCATATTTCTAACTATTCTTTATGTAATTTGGAAGCAATTTAGAATAAAGCCCTGTCAAGGTTTTACAAATAAGAACTATTAAAGAATAAAGCTTTGGATACTTGCTTTCCTTTTAGATTTATGAGAAATGCGATGAATAGAGCTAATGGGATTTCCCTACTGATCTTGGTCAGGGACTTAAGAAAGCACGAAACAATTGTCCTTTTCACTTCTCCGATTTAGACGTTAGCAGTGAATAACTGCGTCACTGCAAGATATGGGATGTAGCATTTGATTTGAAACAACTGTGCAAATCAATTAGGTAGGATTTGAAAAAAAAAAAGAAGCCTAGGCAAAAAAAATAGTTCAAATTTGGGAACTATGGCAGACGGTAGCACTAATAAACTTACTAAGAAAATTATTGTGGGGATAATAAACCTGGATGGAGATACACTGCATGTAGTCATTCAACAAATTTACCTAGAGTCTACCTTGTGCCATGCCTTGAAAATGAAAGATAATTACCTTGGTCCTGTCCTTCATAGGGGAGATAAACAATTAACAATCACTCATACCTACTAAGGTCTGCCCCTCAATGTCACATGGGATTTGGCCAGTAAAGAAGCAAGCTCAGACCTTCCCCATCCCGCAGCATTTCCTGCAGCGGAGGCTTGCTGGCTGCCATTAGCGGGCAGCTGACCCTAATCCTCCCGCTGACACAACTCCGACTTGACACCTGGAACCCACCACTGTGGAGTCTGGACTTCCAGAACCTTAAGTTTAACATCAGGCTACTACAGTTTCTCTCCAAATTCCTTAGAAACATAGTAACACCAGTGAAATACATTAAGAAACACCTTACTACATTTTAATACATTGTACTTTTTATTTTATCCTGGACTGTCCGCTTTTGAATGACTTTATCACAGCCTCATTTATAAATTTCTTGTAACTTTTAGACAAATGTGTGTTCAATGGCTGCTTTTATTTCCAGTACTGTCCTCAATCATTTTGCCATTAGTGAAAATCACTTACTGAGCACCTACCAGTGTTTTTCAGTATTCTACATCACATCATGTAGTCATCTTTGTGGCCGTTCTTAGTGATAACATGCTGCCTGGCTGGCTAAAGGTCCTGCATAGGTAACTCCACTCTAGTTCCTCAAAATAAATATTTGGGTAGTAAGCATATATAATCAGGTATACAAATAAGTCACTTGGCAGTTGAATCACCTCAGTTTTCTAGAAAAGTTTCAGGAACTTACCTGAAGGCCTTCTAGGTCTCTCACAGATAATGATTAATTGCTTTATAGTACAGGTAAACTTTGAGAATAAGACTATGTTTCAAAAACAGTAAGTCCCAAATAACAATAACTCGTGCATTAATGGAGCGCATTCCTCGTTTTTAGTTCACCTTGCTTATACCTGATGACTTGGTTTCTAATTCATTATGCGAGTCAGTGAGCACCTTTAAGGGTTTATGACAGTCATCTAATTGTCTTGGTCAGGGCCAAAGGACTTGGTTATATGCTTTTCATACCAAAATGACATAATTTCATTGAGGAATCTGCTTATTAACCCATTCCCCTAAAAATGCCCAAGTTAAATATAAAGAATTTTTTTCTCTCTCTAACTTGAAGTTACATTGCAACATGTAACTCTAAGACTTAAATTTCAGTGAGCTCTCCCTGGCATCTTCTTGGGCCCTCAGGTGACACCTGTGTCAAGCTGTACTCTGTGTAGTATAGGTGACCCTCTTTCTCAAGGACCGGACATGCCAAAAGGTTTCCCTGCCAAAGCATAACCCACAAGGAGCATCTGGGAAGGGGACTCCTTGCCTCAACCCCAATTATTCATTTGACAAGGAACTGTCTATCACCTACTCTGCCCTAGCCCTGTGCTAGGTGCTGTGGGCACTGGAGTGAACAACAAAAACTAATAACACTTGACCACATTGAATGTACCGGATCATTCATTGAATGATCACTAATGGAGAGTTACAAAGCAATGGGTTCTGAAGGAAAGGTACAGGGTTCTATGAGGGAAATAGCCAAGGAGCCTGATGCAGACTGGGGGCTGAGGGACAGCTTCCCTGAGGAAATGTGACTTGGGCTGAACACTAAAGAAAGAGGAGAAAACATTAAATAAAGAAGGGAAAGAGTGCCGCAGACGGCAGGAGGCAAGTGGGACTGGAGAGCAGGGTGAGGGCAGGCATGCTGGGAGACAGGGACCACCATGCTTGTCCCAGGCCCAATTAAATCAGGGCTTGTGACCCAAAAGCAGTGGGAAGTAACCAGGGCATTGAAGCAGGGGGCTGACATCAGATCTGGGTTATAGCAAGAAACCACTGCTAGGAAGACAGCATGTTGGCAGTGCGGCCAGAGCTGGAATCGGGCGGCAGGTCCCGGGAGTCGGGGCTCAAACCTCTGGGACCAGGGCGGCCTGGCCACTCTCATTTATTGCGGCTCTGAGGATATTATGATATTTTTTAAAACCATAAAAGAGGAGCATACAAATGTTTATTTTAATGTTTACATTTTTAAATTCCTAATGTACAGACTCAAGAATACAATGCTATACAAATATGCCTTTTGCAGAATAAATCTTAAGATTTATTTATTTTTTAATTCATAGGGCAGTGTGAGCTGATCATAGATCCCAACCTAAAAAGCAAAAAACATGAAGAACATCTTTTAATCTAGTTGTTGTTATCTCTAGGACTAAATGTATAACTGTACCTGGCAACAACACCGCGTCTAAATGTAGGCCTCTTTATAAATGGCTCTCCTAATTATCTGTGATGATTGCGCATAGCCCAAGTGAGAAAAGAGAGATGGTGGAGTTGTATGGGGACCAGAGGGACTATGGGGATAGAGATAAGTGAACTGACCCCACAGAGTCCACTACTTCAGAATGTGCAGATTGCTCACTGCTCAAGGCCAAGGAGGTGGGTGGGGGCTCTGATTCAGCCAGGGCCTTGCATGCTACTCATTGAGTCCTGGCACAGAGCTGAGTCCACTGGAGAATGGGGTGTCTTTTTCTAACTTACACAAAGCTCCATGTATGCTAGCAGTGGCCTCCATGAGAGAGACAGTGAGGAGGTAACACTGAAGAATGAGGTCGTAGATTAGATAAGGAGGTGAGAGGATGGCAGGGCCGAGGCCTTCTCTTTCCTCTTTTTCCTCTCCACCCTTTCCTGCCCAAACCATATTGGCATGAAGCAACTGGAGATTCCAGCTTTTATCCCTGCCGTCCAGACCATTCCACACTACCCATCAGTCCTACCCAGCTTGCTCTCCCAGCCCTGCTCTGATAAGCCAACCCTGCTCACCATAGAAACTTAGCTCTAAAGAAAGCTTCAGGCTGGGCATGGTGGCTCATGCCTATAATCCCAGAACTTTGGGAGGCCAAGGCAGGCGAATAGCTTGAGCCCAGGAGTTCGAGACCAGCCTGGCCAACATGGTGAAATCTCATCTCTATAAAAAAAAAAAAAAATTAGCTAGGTACAGTCACATGTGCCTGTAGTCCTAGCTACTTGGGAGGCTGAGCTGGGAGAATCACCTGAGCCTAGGAAGTCGAGGCTGCAGTGAGCTGTGATCAGACCACTGCACTCCAGCCTGGGCCTCAGAGTGAGAACTTGTCTCAAAAGAAAAAGCAAGCTTCAAGGTTTAAGAGGCGGAGGACAACTCCTCAACTCCACACAGTGGGAACATTCTGTAGCCTGAGCATCTTCTCTGTTATCTAGGAATTTGTGAGATTGAGATGATCCATGGAAAACCTTTCAAAATAAATGGACCAAATTCAAGACACCTAACCATGAGTTACAACCAACCCTTTCTCAGGGCCACCTGCTTGCACAGCATGAGGGGCGTCTTGCTTGTTGTCACTGATACAGAGGATGTCTTGTCCAATGTGACTGGCATGTCCTGGGTTTTTCCCATTTGCCAGAGACCTGAGCTGTCATTCACAGGTGCTGAGAGGGAGCAGGAGAGGCAAGCAGAAGCTGAAATGCCCAGGCCTGGGCAGCGTCCTTGCTTTGCATCATGACTTGGCTGCTTCCTGCCACCTTCACACAGGTGTGAAACCTTAGGGCAAACCACCTCGAATCTCTGGAAAAGGTAAAGGAGAAGCTGGCCCAAGCGGGGATGGGGATGCCCCCGGCCTGCGGTACACCCTCCCTTGTTCTCATTCACTTACCTGTTTAGGGATAGTGCACAAGCGTAAAAAAGAGAAAACCTCAGACACAAAGAGTTGTATTTAATCAATGAACCAAACCACCTCTAGGCTGCATTGAGCTTTGTAACTGTTATTACATACCACTTAGTATGTTTATCCCGTGTCTGGCACTTTGCATACATACGGCAGAGAAGCAAGTTGCCTAACTAACCCAATATCTGTTCTTCCCACCTTTAGTTACAGAAGCCCCAGTGTTTAGCTGGGCACATGACCACCTGTTTAAAAAAATCGACATTTTGCATATTCCCTTGGAAGTCAGTACGTCCACACGCTCAAGCGGAGCTGCTCAGGGCAGCTCAGCTGCTGTCTACCTCCTGACTTCGTGTATGAGAAATAAGAATAAACTTCTGTCTTGTTTAAGCTTCTGGTATTTTTTGCTTTGTTTTGGTCTTTTTTCCCCCTTTTTCTTTCTTTTTTTTTTTTTTTTTGTAGAAAATCACATGTAAACCCAACTGATATAATGCATTATGGTTTCTCACATAATCCTCACAACAACCCTTTGAAGAGTTTGTAAACATCCCAAACCTTGGTTTACTCCTGTATAACACACAGATCGCAGTAGTGCTTACTTCCCCAGGTTTCTGAGGATTCAGTGAAATAAGGTCTTCAAAGCTCTGAGCACAGCACCTGGCACACCAGAAGTGTTTGATAACTGTACTTTATTAAGGTAATTTTCATCTCCCTAGCTGGATGGATCAATTTCTCAAGGACAAAGTCCCTGTCTTCAATTTCTGTTATATTGTCTACCACACTCAGAACATTCCTGAACCCACAGTGGGGGCTCAATTGTCAACATAATTTTATGGCTGAATCCAAACATGCAAATAAAATTATTACATGCATTTTCAAATTAATTGTTTCTTTCAGAGCAGAGAACTGATGTAGCTAAAGCAGCAATGACTATGCTGGTCATTTAAAATAAAGACAGGCTGGACACAGTGGCTCATGCCTGTAATCCCAGCACTTTGGGAAGCTGAGGCGAGTGGGTTGCTTGAGCCCAGGAGTTTGAGACCATCCTGGACAACATGGCGAAACCCCATCTCTACCAAAAAATACAAAAATCAGCTAAGCATGATGGTATGTGCCTGTGGTCCCAGCTACTCAGGAGGTTGAGGTGGGAGGATCACTTGAGCCTGGGAGGTTGGAGGATGCGATAAGCAGTGATCACACCACTGCACACAAGCCTTGGCAACAGAGTGAGACCCTGTCTCAATAAAATAAATAAATACAGGATTCCTAACTTAAAAAATTACTTAAAAGGCAGAGAAGGCCAGGCATGTTGGCTTACACCTGTAATTCTAGCACTTTGAGAGGCCCAGGCAGGAGGATTGAGCTCAGCAGTTCAAGACCAGCCTGGCAAACATAGTAAGACCCGATCTCTAAAAAAAAAAAAAGGTGGGCATGGTGGCACGCACCTGTAGTCCCAGCTACTTAGGTGGCTGAGGTGGAAGGATCGCTTAAGCCCGGGAGGTCTGAGGCTGCAGTGAAACATGTTTGTACCACTGCATTCCACCCTGGGTGACAGAGCAAGACCCTGTCCCCCTGCACGCCGCCCCCCGCCCCCCACCAAAAAATACAAAAATAAGGCAGAGAGCATTTTTCTTAAAAGGTGGTTTCTACCTATCAAGGTAACATGTTTCCAGCTGTGTTCAGAGGGCTACTGCTCTAAGAAAGGAAGTCTGTCTGACTTACCATCTTCCTCCAGGTAGACTTCCTCATTCTTGTTAGCTAAGGGACTATTGTGTAGGCATGAGATTCGCAACTGTAGAGAGCATTGCAGAGTTGCTATGTACATGTTTTAACGCTTGGGCACATAACAGTAAGGCTTGGTCTGTACTAGTCTAGCATGGCAGTTGTTTACAAACAACATGATTATTAGTGCTGATTCTACAAGATTGGTTTCCCATTGACCCCAATAGAAACAATGCAAAATATTTACCCTTTTCTAAAGCATAGTAAAACTCCTGTGGTTTTTGAAACCAGACCAAGAACACATGTAGAAAACCCCATGGATTATTTTAAGTGAACTTATTTTTTTAAATCTCATTAACTTTTCACCATATGCTGTTTATTTTTATATCCTGCATAGGCTGAAAAGTGAAAATAGACCAGGCCACTGTGTTTCATTTCAAGCAAATCATTATGAGGATGACACACACAGACTCTGGGGAGTTCAGAGAAAAACAAAGATGATTAAGAGGCCTTTTAAAGATGACTTACAAGAAAAGGTACTTAAAGCTCTACATGTTCCTTAACATAGCAACCCAGGAGGCAAACAGGAAAACTACTCCTCCTCGCCACAAGGATGGAGTATTCCTGCCGGGGGCTTCATGATCTGTGGAAAGAGGGTAGATTCGCATCCCAGCTCCATGTTTACAGGCCGTGCAAGTTTGGGCAATGTGCTGACCTTCGTGTGTACCAGGATGTACGTGAGACACTAAATATCTACTTCGTACAATTTCTGGGGGTAAGAATTAAATGAGAAAGTATATGTAAGTACTTAACATATTGCCTGGAATTAAACAGATAAGGTTTGAGGAGTGTGTGTGTGTGTGTGTGTGTGTGTGTGTGTGTGTGTGTGTTAATGTCTAAGTAGAATAGATGTGTGTTGTATGCTTTCAGGAAAACCAGGTATACTCCACTCAACCCCAAGCATTTCTCCTGCTATGTAATTAAACTTTCTCCATTAAAGATTTATGGATTTATTCTTTTCCGCAAAGGCTTTGAGCCTTGTCAAAATACAAATTTGCTTCTAACAAGTAATACCTTAAACTTGTATCAGTTATTTACACCTTCTTATGAACATATTTTGGATCTGTTTCTGAAAGCCTGCTTTGATGAAGGAGAGGAGATGAGAAAGAGGATGTGGATGCCAGAAAGAAGGTGGGCTGAAGCAGGAGGAGGGACCTCAGTGAATGGGAGGCTGAATGGTGGGGACAAAGTCTATTTCCTGCACAATATCCCCTCAGACCCAGCCCTAGATATTAATGAGCTGAAGGTATGAAAAGGAGAACATACCTAAATATTGGAAAAGTTTTTCTTTCCTTCTGAACAGTTCAGTCTCATGGATCCTCAACCCATTCCCTCAAAGCTGGAATCCCAGGGTTTGCCACCGCTGACCATGGCATGATAGACTCTTGATAGATGGAGATGGGTACTGAGAAGGAGGGTCATGCAGTAGGGGGGGCTCTTTTCCAGGCAAGCCCAAGTTAATGCCATGATTCTGTGGCTACATAGGACAGGGGATGATGTAGAACATTTTTACTTTAGAGGTGATGACGAAGCACCATAGATCCTCTACCGCTACAAAAGGAGGCTGGTACCAAGGCAGGAGGGAAGAGGGAAGTAAAGGAAGCTGCTGGCCCTAGGCCTCTGGAACCTGCACCCTACCATGTGGGCCCACGTGGGTCCCTTTGGCTGCAATGACAAGGATTGGTTCATGCACAGATATGAGAGTCCATGTCACCCACAGTGATGTGGAGAAGAGGACAAGGAAGGAAGAAACTGGAAGGGAACAGAAGTGGGGAAGAAGAGGGAGGGATGAGAGAGGTAGAATGACAGAGAGAGAGCGAGAGACACAGCCAGACATGGTTACTAAAGACATCACTGGGTCTAGGAAAAAAACAATGTTACAAACTATAATTTATCATTTGATACATGTATCATTAGCCAGGCTAGATCCTCTTACTAATGTGAGATAATTCATGGAAGTCATAGCAATTTTAGGCTTGAGGTTAAAACTGTAGAAGATGGATGGTTGCGATGGCTCATACTTGTAATCCCAACACTTTGGGAGGCCTAGGTGGGAGGGTGACTTCAGGCCAGGAGTTCAAGGCCAGCCTGGGCAACAAAATGAGACCCAGTCTCTACAAAAAAAATAAAAAATAAAATTAGCCAGGTGTGGTGGTGCACTCCTGCAGTCCCAGCTACTTGAGAGGCTGAGCTGGGAGGATTGCTTGAGCCTGGGAGGTTGAGGTTGCAGTGAGCCATGATCATGCCACTATGCACCATCCTGGGCAACAGAGCAAGAGACCCTGTCTCAGAAACAAACAAACATAAAACTGTAGAAGATGAGTAAGACCCTCTTAGCCTTTCCAATTAGTATTCTTCCTTGCTGATTTTCCAGAGAGAAATTCCTTAAACAATTGGCCCCACTGACTCCATTTTATTCCATAACCCCTGCCACATTCTAATTTCTAGCCTCATCTGGTTCCTGGAAAATTTCCATCTCTGATTTCTCATTACCTTCTTTCTTCTAGAAAAACCCTCTTGTCTTTTCTTGGCTTTCCCCTGCTTCCATCTTTTAGAAATATGTATTGATATCTGGAGCGTGGTGTTTTGTAACTAATTCTACTCCTGCGGATTAGAGCTGAGATAGGAGGTCTGTTTACATGATATAAGCCCTTCTAAGTGCCAGATATGTGCGGGAGGACTCAGGGGTGTGGGTGGGATGGAAGTCTCAAGGGCAGATGGCGGTCCTCCACCTGAAAGAGGCACCTACTGACAGACTTCAGTTTCCTGTGGCGAATGGACCAGTTAGTGGCCACCGGTGACTCTGTGAGTCTCAAAATTATTTTTCCCCTTCCCTGATTTCCCTGAGACCATTCTAGCTTCTTCCACACTTTCTGTTTCCTTCACCAACTTCTTGTCCTCCTAGCCACAGCCTCCCAACCCTAAGGCAGCCCCTATCTGCTCCTTTTCTTTCAGGCCTCACTGCCCCGTGGCCCTCCAGTCCACCATGGTGCCCCTCAGGACGGCCCTGGCCTCTCCGCCCTCACCCACTGTTGCTGGTTCCTCTCTCTGTGCCTTGGTTCGTGTCATTCCCCCAAATGTCCAGCCACTGCTCCCAAGTCAGGCTCACTACTAGCCCTCTCTGAGAAGCGGTCCTTGACGAATTCCACTGCTAACCCCTGCCCCACCGGGCTTGCTCACGCCTCTCCGCCTTTACGTTTGCTGCCTCCTGTGTTCTTTCCCATTGCTTGTTAAGAAGCTGCCATCTTTCCAAACTCGGCCCAAATATCACTGGCCTTTGTGAAGCCCTCCTTGATCACAGTTCCCACACGCCCTATGGAATAGTCACCTCAGAGCTATGAAACCAGCTTGTGGGCATCACGATCTTAGCCTTTATTGTATTATGGTGTAAATATTTGTGAGTGTTCATGTCCCAACCCCAAAAAGGGTGCTCCAGAAGGGCACCCCCACATTTTTGCATATCCAGGGCCTAACCTAGGACCTGGTCCTCCACTGAACGAATGACCTCTGAAACCAGTTAGAGCAATACTGGGGCAATGCCTGCTCCTCCAAGCAGGGGACCAGTGTGACTGATATATTTGAGCTTTCCCGACACTTCCTGAGCAGGCACAAGGCCCCTATGCATGAGGATATGTTCTTAGCAATCAATCCATTATTCTTTTCTCTTCTGTTTTGCTTTCTTTCTTTCTTTTTTTTTTTTTTTTTTTTTTTTGAGACGGAGTCTCTCTCTGTCACCCAGGTTGGAGTGCACTGGCACCATCTTGGCTCACTGCAACCTCCACTTCTCAGATTCAGGTGATCCTCCTGCCTCAGCCTCCTGAGTAGCTGGGATTACAGGCATGCACCACCACATCTGGCTAATTTTCATATTTTTAGTAGAGCCAGGGTTTCACCATGTTGGCCAGGCTGGTCTTAAACTCCTGACCTCAAGTGATCCTCCCACCTCGGCCTCCCAAAGACCTGGGATTACAGGTGTGAGCCACCGAGCCCGGCTGATCAATCCATTATTCTAGGGAAATTGAGCAGAATCCTCGTGTCACAACGTGGGCAATGACTTCAGAACATCACTTGCTGGAGCCATATTTTTTCAAGACACATGCCAGTCACTCTGCTCGTCTGAACATACTGCAAGGGTGGTCTCTGCAGGAGGGAGAACGTGAGGCGACCACCCTCCTATGCCAGTACTCTGCTCTCGTAGTTAGGGAACCCCAAGCCCACAGGGCCTCCCCAGGAGCCCTACTTCTGAAATGTGGAATTTTGCCCTGGGACATTATAGAAGAAAAGTTCTCTGCTCCACGTAGCAAGAGTCAAAGAACTAGAAACAGCCATCATGGATTGCTTTAATGATTTCCAGATATCAACATGGGGAAAATTTCTAGACAACATGGGGGAAATAAAAGTTGTACAATGCAGAGCACATATATAATTTTTAAATGGCATGCAAAAAGGCTGTGTGGCCACCCTACAGACTTGAGATTTATTTATTTTATTTTATTTTATTTTATTTTATTTTATTTTATCTTTTGAGACAGAGTCTAGCTGTGTCACCCAGGCTGGAGTGTAGTGGCTCAATCTCAGCTCACTGCAACCTCCACCTCCCGGGTTCAAGAGATTCTGCTGTCTCAGCCTCTCAAGTAGCTGGGACTACAGGCACATGCCACTGCACCCAGCTAATTTTGCATTTTTAGTAAAGACAGGGTGTCACCATGTTGGCCAGGCTGGTCTCGAACTCCTGGCCTCAGATGGTCCGCCTGCCTCGGCCTCCCAAATTGCTGGGATTACAGGCATGAGCCACCGTGCCCAGCCTTGGGATTTTTTTAAAAAAATAACTAAAACCCCTGTTGAAAATGCTTTTTCTCTATACTGCCAAAGAGCTCAGACTATTACAATTATTAGATATAGACATTAGATATTTCCTTGCACTACAGAGAAATAAAGTTATTAGCATGATGGGTCTAAAAATAGGCTATTTGTAGCTGAGTTGTGATGTATTTTCTAGATACTTTGTTTTAATTTCTAACTTTGTTAACTCAAGTATAAGATGCTATATGTTATATGCTTCTTGGCATTACATTATTCGGTCAGGATCTGATTTAATTTCTTTTATAATAAACAAATAAATCTAAAAATATTTTATTTATCATCTCCAGCAAGTTCCCCTACGCTGGCTCCGGGACCAATAGTCAGCTAACGGGGCTTCATTAGGGTGACATGCAGTGAATTTCCAAAGCTATGTCTAGATGCTTTGAGAATGGACACCCGTTCTCCTTTGCCACTGCTCCTCCAGTTCTGTGCTGTACCTTCAGCCAAGGCCCAGTCTTCACTTTGTCCAACAGTTTTGCTAACCACATCCTTGTCTTGTTTCTTAGGATTGAGCCCCAGCCACTGAATCCTGCCTACTCTATTCTCCTGAGCCTGGGGCTCTTCTTTGCTTTTGCCACAATGTCTATTTTATCCTTCCACCTCCGTTGGGACTGGGATCTGGTCCTTCAACTCTTGGTTCATTGCTGTCATCTTGTTACCTGCTGAAAACTGTATATGATGCTGCCAGCCTGCCTGGATTGCCAAATATCAGCTCCCTGCTTATTGAACACGCCCTGACGCCTACTGCTTGCATTGACAGTTCACATTAGTCAAGTGCTCGCGGTGTGACAGGGCACAGTGCCATGGGCTCTGCATTTGTGACCTCATATGATCTTCCTAAGGATCCTATGAGGTAGATAATATCTCTGTTTTACAGGTAAGCATACTGGAAAATGTGAAGTAAAAGAATTTGTATCAGGTTGCTGGGTGCGGTGGCTCACGCCTGTAATCCCAGCACTTTGGGAGGCCGAGGCAGGCAGATCACCTGAGGTCAGGAGTTCGAGACCAGCCTGCCCAACGTGGTGAAACCCCGTCTCTACCAAAAAAAAAATACAAAAAATTAGCCGGGCGTGGTGGCGGGCACCTGTAATCCCAGCTACTCAGGAGGCTGAGGCAGGAGAATTGCTTGAACCTGGGAGGCGGAGGTTGTGGTGAGCTGAGATCATGCCACTGTACTCCAGCCTGGGCGACAAGAAACTCCATCCCCCGCCGCCCCCTCCAAAAAAAAAAGAATTTGTGTCAGGTTATACAACCAGTAAAGGGAGAATCTGAGATTGGAGGAGTCTCAAGCTGGTTCCCATTCTGGGGAAGCCCTGCGGCCGCAGTCTACAGGTCCCGGGTGAAGCCTGCGCTGAGGCATCTCTCACCATGGCCTGGGCTGAATTTGGTGCTGTCGTTTTGTCCCCAACTCAATAGATGGGTCCAATTCGAGGGTCACATACTGCCAGGCTGTTCTGTCATAATTGGCTCTTACATTTTTGACTCACACCACAGCATATCTAGGACTACCAATAATTAATAATGGGAAATGCTAGGTATGAAGAACAGATATAAAAATGTATTTATATTTGGTAAAACTTTATTAGATTTTATTCTTCCCTCCCTTCCTTCCTTTCTCACTTCCTCCCTCCCTTCCTTCCTTTTTTCCTTCTTCCTTCCCTCCCTTCCTTCCCCCTTCCCTTCCCTTCCCTTCCCTCCTTCCTTTCTTCCTTCCTCCTTTCTTCTTTCCTTCTGTATAAGAGAAACTTTTGTGTTTTTTTTTTTTTTTTTTTTTTTTTTTGTTGTTGTTGTTTGAGACGGAGTCTCACTTTGTCGCCCAGGCTGGAGTGCAGTGGCACCATCTCGGCTCATTGCAAGCTCCGCCTCCCGGGTTCACGCCATTCTCCTGCCTCAGCCTCCGGAGTAGCTGGGACTACAGGCGCCCGCCACCATGCCCAGCTAATTTTTTGTATTTTTAGTAGAGACGGGGTTTCACCGTATTAGCCGGGATGGTCTGGATCTCCTGACCTGGTGATCCGCCTGCCTCGGCCTCCCAAAGTGCTGGGATTACAGGTGTGAGCCACCACGCCTGGCAAGAGAAACTTTTAAAATGTCTTCTAAGATCTTAGGAAAGTTATATCATCTAGAAAAGAGATGTTCATATTCCACTGAAAGTCCATTGTGAGAAATTTTCTCACACATTTTGCTGTACTGGCAGTCTTGTGTTCTGTATAGAATTTGTTTTAATATAATTTATTGCAAAAGCTTTCTGAAGGAAGCAGGAACCATGAGAAAAATTTTCAAATAATATACTGAGCAAAGTTTGGTGTGACAGTTCTGCAGAATATTTTCTATTTTCCTCTCACTTTAGAATTAAGTATTTTTAAAAATCTTTGACTTAAAGAAAATCAGTACATACATATTGGCAGATCACATAGAGAAAAACTTTTTTTGAGCCTCAATAATTTAGAAGTCATGATTGTTTGAATAAGGACAAGGTAAAGTAAATGTATTAAAGAGTAGAAGAATTAGAAATCACTCAGCACAGACATCCTCATACCCAATACCTCTCGCAAATACACATACACATCCTCACACCCGAGACACATCACACATCACTATATAAGGTGAGAATCCTCAGCTGCTAAACTAACAAAAAAGTTGCACAAGAAAAAACAAATTGGGCCAAGGCCCACAACAACTCTGGGACCCTTGAGAGCCAAATATAAATCCACACTACAGGAGTCAAATTCATAAATACAAAAATTAGCCGGGCATAGTGCATGCACCTGTAGTCCCAGCTACTTGGGAGGCTGAGGCTGAGAATCGCTGGAGCCTGGGAGGCGGAAGTTGTGGTAAGCCGAGGTCATGCCACTGTACTCCAGCCTGGGCAACAGAGCAAGATTCTGTCTCAGAAAAAAAAAAACAAACAAACAAACTGAAAATACAAAAGAGAGGTTAGGAGGCCTGGAGGACAGAATGAGAAGTACAAAATAACTATACTTTTATTGGCATTCCAGAAATACAACTGTAGTGACATTCAAAGAAACAATGGGGGAAGAGTAATACTGTAACAGTTCATGTATTGTATAGCTGCTCCAGACAGAAAACTGAAAATTATGCACAGGGAAATTATTAGAATTAACAAGAGAATTTAGCTGGATAGATGCAAAATAGACATACATTTTTCTGGAAATGAGTATTTTTTCTTCTGAGTTTTTAATTTTATTGGCATAAAGTTGATTAAAGCATTCTCTTAACCTTTTAATTTCTGCTGCATCTGAACTTATGACACTTTTGTCAGTTTAACAATATTTATTTTTGCCTTTTCTTCTTTTGTTTTTTTGAGTAGTCTTACCAGATATCTACTTTTTTAGACTTTTCAAAGAGCAGTATTTTGGATTCCTTGAGCATTTCTATTATTTATGTGTTTCCTATTTAATTGACTTCTGTTTAATTGATCTATTATTTATATGGTGGTTATTTATTTGGTTTCTGCTCTCATCTCTATAGCAGTCTTCATCCTACTTTTTTGTGATTTTTTTTTCTGTTATTCTTTAACACTCAAGTTTGAAAACACAGCTACTTAATTTTCAGCCTTTAAGCATCAAGTCTATAAATTTCTCAAAAAGTACCATTTTTCTACGTCCCTTAGTATAGCTGTGTATATAAGTGAGATGGTAGATAAGAACATACTTATAAAAACAAACAAGAGTAGAATACATAAGGGTACTTAGGACTTAACACTAATACATCACGTCACACACAAAAACCAACTCTATGTGTATTAATGAGCTATATGTGAAATACAACCCTACAGAAACTTTAGAAGTTAGTCTGGGAGAATACTCATCTGAACTTAGGGATGTAAACATTTTCTTAGACAGGAAACAAAAATTGAAATCCACAAAGGAAAAATTGACAAATTGGCCTACATTTAAAATGAAAACATCTATTTATCAAAAGACACTCTAATGAGAATGAAATGACCAGCCACAGACTAGGATGAGATATTTGCTAAATGTGTAATTGTCAAGGGATTAGTCTCCTAAACATGTAAAGAATTCTTACAAATCAATAAAAAAGACATCTATTTTCACCAAAGAGTCAAAATAATTACACAAGTGTTTTATAGATGTACAAAATGTCACTCACTCATTAGCAATCAGGAAAATACAAATTAATTCTGCTATGAAGTACTGTTACACATCCACAAAGTTTGCAAAAATGGAAACCTGACACTACTGTGCGTTGAATGGGATGTGAAGCAAGACAATTTCTCATATATTGTTGATGGAAGTGTAAATTAATTGTCACTCTGGAGACCAATTTTGCTATGTGAAAATGCACATACATACTCTATGACCTAGCAATTCCACTCCTAGGTGTAAACTCTAGAGAAACTGTCCTGTTCCAGGAGGCATTTATGAAAATGCTTAAAGCAGCACTATTCTTTTATTTTTATTTTTACTTTTATGTTTTGGAGACAGAGTCTCACTCTGTTGCCCAGGCTGGAGTGTAGTGGCATGATCTCTGCTCACTGCAACCTCTGCCTTCCGGATTCAAGTGATTCTCCTGCCTTAGTCTCCCGAGTAGGTGGGCTTACAGGTGCATGCCACCACGCCTGGCAAATTTTTGTATTTTTAGTAGAGATGGGGATATTTAGTAGAGACCATGTTGGCCAGGCTGTCTCAAACTCCTGACCTCAAGTGACCTGCCTGCCTTGGCCTCCCAAAGTGCTGGGATTACAGGCATGAGCCACCGCGCCCAGCCCAAGCAGCACTATTCTTACTAATAAAAAAACTAGAAGCAAATCTATGTCCATTGACAACAGAATGAATAAAATATGGGTGACAGAATACTATATAGTAATGAGTATGAATAAATTACACCTGTGTCCATCAATGCACGAGAATCTGAAGAACATAATTTTGAGTGGAGAAAACAAAGAAAAACACAGCTTTAGTCAAATGATATACAGTTTAAAACATGCATAACTATATTTCTTTGTGAAACTACAAGGAAATGATAACTATCGAATTTAGGATTATAATGGTCTCCAGAATGGAAACCAGCGGGTCTAGGGAGGCGGACAAGGAATTCAAAAGCAATGGTGTGGCTTTGGCACTCTTTTCCTACACTTGAGGGCGAGGACATAGGGGTTGTACTATTATTCATTTTTTGTTTTTTCCATTATACTTTATACCTTACATATTTTTAAAATATTGTTTTGTATCTTCTCAGTATTTATTAAAAACAATTAAAAAAATAAAATGCTAAAGAGTGACACTTTTCCAAAATTGAAAAAGGACATAAATCCTCAGATTGTTGAAGTGCCCCCAGGCCCTTGCAGGTTAAATAAAAACAAATTCAAAACTAGACATATGAGAGTGGAACTGCAGAGCACCAAAGACACAGAAAAGACAGGGGGTAAAATAGGCTACCTTCAAAGGAAAACGTTCAATTCTGTACAACAGTGACACACCCCAGAAGTGACATAACAATTCTAGGTGCTGAAAGGAGGGAAAACCCCTGGATAGAATTCTTTTTTTTTTTTTTTTCTGGGACAGAGTCTTGCTGTATCACCAGGCTGGAGTACAGTGGGGCGATCTCTGCTCACTGCAACCTCTGCCTCCTGGGCTCAAGCAATTCTCCTGCCTGAGCCTCCTGAGTAGCTCGGACGACAGGCACACGCCACTATGCCCAGCTAATTTTTGTATTTTTAGTAGAGACAGGGTTTCACCATGTTAGCCAGGATGGACTCAATCTTTTGACCTCATGATCCACCTGCCTCGGCCTCCCAAAGTGCTGGGATTACAGGCATGAGCCACTGTGCCTGGCCAAGGGAGGAAAACCCCAGGATAGAATTCTTTATCCAGCCGCTTTATTCAAGAGTGAGGGCTAAATGATCACCCTATTAGAATTCACCATTAACAGACCTTCACTGGAAGAACTACAAATAAACAGTCATGTGTCGCTTAATGATGGGCATACATTCTGAGAAATGCATCGTTAGGCACTTCCATCTTTGTGTGAACATCATAGAGTGCACTTACACAAAGCTACACAGCATAGCCTACTCCACACCTAGGCTGTGTGGGACAGCCTGTTGCTCCTAGGTTACACACCTGTACACCATGTGACTGTGCTGAACACTACAGGCAACTGGAACACAATGCTAAGTATTTTGTGTATCTAAACATAGGAAAGATGACAGCAAAAATACAATTTAAAAGATTTTAAAATGATTCACCTGTATAAGGCACTTACCATGAATGGAGCTTGCAGGACTGGCAGTTGCTTGGATGAGTGAGTGAGTGAGTGGGGAGTGTCTGTGAAGGCCTACGACTTTACCGTATGCTACTGTAGACTTTATCAACACTGGACACTGAGGCTGCATTCAATTCATTCATTTCTTCAATAATAAATTAATCTTAGCTTACTGTAACCTTTTCACTTTATAATCTTAATTAAAAAAAACTTTTAGACCTTCTTTCCTTCCTTCCTTTTTCTTTCTTTCCCTCTCTCTTCTCTCCCTCCCTTCCATCCTCCCTTCTTTCCCTCCCTCCTTCCCTCTCTCCCTCCCTCCGTCCCTCCGTCTGTTCGTTTTCTTTCTTTCTTCTTTCTTTCCTTTTCATTTTTTCCTCTCTTCCCTCCCTCCCTTCCTTGCGTCCTCCCTTCCCTCCCTCCCTCTTTCTTTCCTTCCTTCCTTCCTTCTTCCTTTCTTTCTTTCTCTTTCTTTCTTTCTTTCTCTCTCTCTCTTTCTCTCTTTCTTTCTTTCCCTCTCTCTCTTCCCTCCCTCCCTTCTGTCCTCCCTTTCCTTCCTTCCTTCCTTCTTTTCTTCCTTCCTTCCTCTCCTTCTCCTTCTCCTTCTCTTTCTCTCTCTCTCTCTTTTGCTTGGATGGGTACAGTGACTCACACTTGTAATCCCAGCACTTTGGGAGGCCAAGGTGGGTGGATCACCTGAGGTCAGGAGTTCGAGACCCGCCTGGTCAACATGGTGAAACCCTGTCTCTACTAAAAATAAAACAATTTAGCCAGTCATGGTGGCATGCGCCTGTAATCCCAGCTACTTGGGAGGCTGAGGCAGAAGAATTGTTTGAACCTGGGAGGTGGAGGTTGTAGTGAGCCGCGGTTGTGCCATTGCACTTCAGCCTGGGTGACAGAGCAAGACTCTGTCTCAAAAAAAAAAAAAAAAAATTCTTGCTCAGTTGCCCAGGCTGGAGTCCAGTGCTGCACTCATAGCTCACTACAGCCTCGAAATCTAGGGCTCAAGTGATTCTCCCACCTCAGCCTCCCAAGTAACTGGGACTACAGACACGTGCCATCAGGCCCAGCTCATTTTAAAATTGTTTTTAGAGACTGGAGGTTCTCACTTTATTGCCCCAGCTGGTCTTGAACTCCTGGCTTAAAGCCATCCTCCCTTCTCAGCCTCCCAAAGCACTGGAATTACAGGCATGAGCCATTGTGCCTGGCCTTTTTTGACTCTTCTGATAACACTTGAAACATGAACACAGTAAAGAGCTGTTCAAAAATATTTTCTTTCTTTATATGTGTATTCTATAAGCTTTTTTCTTTTCGTTTTTTTTTTTGATACAAGTTCTCACTCTTGTTTCAAAAAACGTGATACAATGTATCAAAAAACAACCTACAATAGTGATGTCTTGTCTGGAGTGCAGCAGGGCTTTTATGGTTCACTGCAGCCTTGAACTCCGGGACTCAAACAATCCTCTGGGCCGGGCACAGTGGCTCACGCCTGTAATCCCAACACTTTGAGAGGCTGAGGCGAGCGGATCACTTGAAGTCAGGAGTTTGAGATCAGCATGTCCAACATGGTGAAACCCCATCTCTACCAAAAATACAAAAAAAAAAAAAAAAATTAGCTGGATGTGGTGGTATGCACCCATAATCCCAGCTACTCGGGAGACTGAGGCAGGAGAATTGCTTGAACCCAGGAGGCAGAAGTTGCAATGAGCTGAGATCGCACCACTGCACCCCAGCCTGGGTGACAGAGCGAGACTCCGTCTCAAAAAAAAAACCCAAAACAAACCAAAACAAAACAAAAAAAGCAATCCTCCAGTTTCAGTTTCCTGATTAGCTGGGACTACAGGTGTGTGTCACCACACCTGGCTAATTTTTAACTTTTTTTGTAGAGACGAGGTCTTGCTTTGTTGCCCAAAGCTGGTCTTAAACTCCTGGCCTCAAGCCATCCTCCCACTTTGGCATCCCAAAGCACTAGGAATCCAGAGGTGAGCCACTGCACCTGGCCAAGCTTCCTTTCGTTACTTTTTTAAAACACTTTTAAAATGTTGGCCAGGCGCAGTGGCTCATGCTGGTAATCCCAGCACTTTGGGAGGCCAAGGCAGGTGGATCACCTGAGGTCGGGAGTTCGAGACCAGCCTGACCAATATGGAGAAACCCCATCCCTGGTAAAAATTCAAAATTAGCTGGTGTGGTGGTGCATGCCCGTAATTCCAGCTACTTGGGAGGCTGAGGCAGAAGAATTGCTTGAGCCCAGGAGGAGTAGGTTGCAGTGAGTCGAGATCATGCCATTGCACTCCAGCCTGGGCAACAAGAGCGAAACTCCATCTCAAAACGAAAACAAAAACAACAAACAAACAAACAAAAACACCTTTTAAAATATTGTTAAAAGCCAAGATACAAAGACATACACTAGCCTAGGCCCAGACAGGGTCAGGATCATCTACATCACTGTCTTACCTCCACATCTTGTCCCACTGGAAGGTCTTCAGGGGCAGTAACACACATGGAGCTATCATCTCCTGTGATTACAATGCTTTCTTCTGGATACCTCCTGAAGGGCCTGCCTGAGGCTGTTTTACAGTTAACTTTTTAAAAAATAACTAGAAGGCGTGCACTCTAGAATAATGATAACAAGTATAATATAGTAAATATAAAAGCCAGTCACATGTACTGTATATAATTGTATGTGCCATACTTTTATATGACTAGCAGCTCAGTAGGTTTGCTTACACTACAAACAAGTGAGTGATGCATTGCATTATGATATTACAGCAGCTGTGATATCACATGGGCATTTTTCAGCTCCATCACGATCTATGGGACCATTGTCATATGCGCAGTCCATCATTACGTGCTGCATGACTGTACTTGATCAATAAGGAAAAGGGACCCGGAAGAGAGATGGGAAAAATAAGGAGAAATGGTAAGCAAAGGAATTAAATAAACAGGTCAGGCACAGTGGCTCACACCTATAATCCCAGCACTTTGGGAGGTCAAGACAGGCGGATCACTTGAGGTCAGGAGTTTGGGAGCAGCCTGGCCAACACAGTGAAACCCATCTCTACTAAAAATGCAAAAATTAGCTTTGTGTGGTGGTGCATGCCTGTGGTCCCAGCTACTTGGGAGGCTGAGGCAGGAGAATCACTTGAACCTGTGAAGCAGAGATTGCAGTGAGCTGAGATCACACCACTGCACTCCAGCCTAGGTGACAGAGCAATATTTTGTCTCAAAAAATAAAAATAAATAAAAATTTTTTAAAATCTTTTTGAGTCAAGGTCTCACTCTTACCCAGGCTAGAATGCAGTAGTACAATCACAGCTCACTGCAGCCTCAAACTGCTGGGCTAAAGGGTTCCTCCCACCTCAGCCTACCAAATAGCTGAGACTGCAGGTACATGCCGCCATCCCCGGCTAATTTTGTAAAATTTTTTTGTAGAGACATACGATCTCACTGTGTTTTGCAGCCTGGATTTAAACTTCTGGCCTCAAGCAATCCTCTTGCTTCAGCCTCCCTCGTTGCTGGGATTACAGGTGTGAGCCCCTGCACCTAGTTCAGCAAACATGACTCGTAAAACAAAAAAAGCTGAGTTTGGCCCAAGTTTTGTGGGATCTAAAGCTTTAATAGTTTGGCGGGGGAGTGGGGGGGGGTGCTTTTTAAAGAAAGGAATACCAAATTATTAATAAATACTTAGGTACAAAAGTTTAGATTTACTGAGAATAAAAATAAAAATCACGACAATTTAAGTTGTAGTTAAGTGCCTCAAAACATCACAAAATCCGGGACTAAAATACAAGCTTCAATTATTTTATTATAACCAATCCCTTTCTTTTTTATACATTTTATTCCTTACATTTTTTGGCTATATATTCTTTGATCACCTCTTAATGTGACAATAATTTCTAAGTATCATCTTCTATTTTAAAAAAGTAGAGAGATAAGTCTGTCTTGTAAGGATAGATTAGTCTTCTAACACAGTAGGTCAATATTTGTGGTTTGTTGGTTTGTTTGTTTTTAGAGATGCGATCTTACTATATTGCCTAGGCTAGAATGCAGTGGCTAGTCACAGGTGTGACTGTGGCACACTACAGCCCCCAACTCCTGGTGTCAAATGATCCTCTTTGCCTCAGCTCCCGAAGTAGCAAAATTTATTTGTTTTTAATCAGTCATAGTTGAGAAAAGTTTATTTTAGCTTCACAATTTGTTATTGGTAGTCGAGGGGAATCCTCAGACATAACTTCAGCCCTTTGATCTCACAGTCACAGCAAGCTGGTCAAGGTCGACTGGGTTTTACCACACCCAGTATCCCTGCCACCCTCGGCCTTGCCAGGGCTGTTGTCAGGGGCAGAGCGTGTGCCAAAGGGACCATGAAGCCCGGTCACATGGCCCTGGGGCTGGGAGTAGAGCCGTGTCGCAGAATGTTTTCCTTGGGGAAGAGGCTGATGTCCTAAGGTTCAAGTTGTCACTGGGGCCTGGTACCCAACCCCCATGCTGCAGCTCCAGGACTACCACTAGGGTGAGCAGAGTGACCTCCAGGCTGGCAGAGCTGCCTTCCTCTAACTCTCCTGGGGCTACTTCTTCTTCCCGGACCTTGGAAGTGTCTTTGCAGACTAGGGAGCTGAAACTGAAATATCAGCTCCAAGGTAAATCAGACTTTTGCAGGGAATATGGAAAACAACTTTCATAACAGCAGCAATAATAGTAACAATGGTTAGAGGAACAACTGTTTCCCGCTCATATGTCCATAGAGAGGAGAAAAGGTCTACTCTAATCTCCTCAAGTGATAATATGAGAACACTGTGCACTTCTTTCTGCCTCCTCAACCATTCTTCCACCAGGCAGGAGGACTGCAAAGTTTAGAAGAAAGGCCTCAACGTGCTTGGCTCAGCCCCTACTGTTTTCTCTCCTTCAGAGCTGCATCTCCCAGAGAAGCTGCATTCTTGTCTGCGTGGTCTGTGCAAACAGCCTTATTGGGGACACTTGTTGTTGTCCCACTCTGCCATCAGGCATGAAGCCCATTTAATTCAGGAATACAGTATCAGCAAGCTCATCTGTCCACAGATCTAAAATCTCTCTCTGCAATCAGACCTACCTGAAATAAAGCTAACATTGTATTTTGATTTTCAACTCTCATTCTTGCCTGTTTCCACCCTTATTTCTCCATATGAATTCTAATTTCAAGACAGGAAGATAAGTTCTGTATATGAGATACCCTACAACTCTAATAATAAAGGCTAATTTAGAGAGATTTTCAAAAACTGGTAAAACTAACAAATTAGAGAACAATAACATGGGGAGAGAGAAAATGGAGCTACTGTTGAGCTTTAGCTTTTTTAAAAATTAAGCATGACATACTCAAAATTTAAGGGTAACTTCTAAAAGGAATAAAATACGTGTCTTTCAAAACACTGGAGGAGGAAAAAAAGGCAACAAACTCAAGAAATGCAGTAGAGAGCAGGAAAAAGTAAAAACCCAAATAATAAGAAAAAATATGGTAACTAGAAAACATAAAATAAGATGATAGAAATAAATCCAATATAAGGAATCCTCATAAATGTAAACATGAAACCACCTGTTACAAATCAGAGATTATCTGAATTGAAATACAAATTTTATCTATGTTTTATGCTCTCATGTTCTTCAGAAACATAAAATACAATGATTCTTAAAATTTGAAGTAAACTTATTGAAAAATATTTCAGGTAAGTACTAAACAAATAAAGGTAATGAAACAATACCAATTATATGAAATAGAATTTAAGGCAATAATGTTAGGTATAAAAAGTCATTATTGACTAATAAAAAGAAGAGTTATCAAGAAAATAAAACAATCCTGAACTTGTTTGCACCCAACAATATAGCCACAAAAATATATAAAGATAAACAATGATAGATAAACTAAAAGAAATTGTTAAATTCCCCAATCATGGTAGGTTTTTGTTTTGGTTTTGTTTTTTGCATGGCTGATACAGAGTAGTTTTATTCTTTTTTTAAAAATTCCGGGATACATGTGCAGGATGTGCAGGTTTGCTACATAGGTAAACGTGTGCCATGGTGTTTTGCTTAATACCATCACCTAGGTATTAAGCCCAGCATGCATTAACTAATTTTCCTAATGCTCTCCCTCCCGCCATCCCACATGGTAGATATTTTTAACACATCCCTCTCAGAAACTGACATAGCAAGCCAATGAATAACTAGGAAATATAAAATGTCTTGAACAACACAATTAATAAGCACATTCTAGTGGACATATACAGAATCCTGCCCCCAATAATTAGAGGAAACAGATAATTAGTAGAGTGACCACAGTCTAGACACAACAAATACATCAACAAATACAAGCAGGCCAGGCACAGTAGTGCACACCTGTAATCCCAGCATTTTGGGAGACCAAGGCTGGCAGATCGTTTGAGCTCAGGAGTTCAAAACCAGCTTGGACAACATGGTAAAAACCCTATGTCTACAAAAAATGCAAAAACATTAGCCGGGTGTGGTGGTGCGGGCCTGTAGTCTCAGCTACTCAGAAGGCTGAGGCTGGAGGATCACTTGAGCCTGAGAGGTTGAGGCTGCAGTAAGCTGAGATCGTCCCACCGCACTCCAGCCTGGGCGGCAAAGTGAGACCCTGTCTCAAAACAAACAAGCAAACAAACAAACAAACGAACGAACAAAACCCAAATACCAACGTATTCACTTCCTACAGAGCACACTTCATATTACATACAATGCAATGTAGTCAGAAATGTAAAAACCAAAAAAATAGTTTAGAAATTCTATCATTTTAGCCAGGCGCAGTGGCTCACGCCTCTAATCCCAGCACTTTGGGAGGCCGAGGCGGGCAGATCATGAGGTCACGAGTTTGAGACCAGCCTGACCAACATGGCGAAACTCCGTCTCCACTAAAAATACAAAAATTAGCCGGGCGTGGTGGCGGGCGCCTGTAGTTCCAGCTACTCGGGAGGCTGAGGCCGGAGAATGGCGCGAACCCGGGAGGCGGAGCTTGCAGTGAGCCCAGATCGCGCCACTGCACTCCAGCCTGGGCGACAGAGCCAGACTAGTCTCAAAAAAAAAAAAAAAAAAAAAAAGAAAGAAGAAAAAAAAAAAGAAATTCTATCATTCTAGAAACCAAAAGCACTTCAAAATAGATACTTACATAGATATATAGATGGGTAAACTATATGAAAAGGCAATTCGATCGATAAATAAAAGATGACGAGATCGTACTATAAAACCAACGTCGGCTGGGCGCGGTGGCTCACGCCTGTAATCCCAGCACTTTGGGAGACCGAGGCAGACGGATCGCAAGGTCAGGAGATCCAGACCATCCTGGCTAACACAGTGAAACCCCGTCTCTACTAAAAATACAAAAAAATTAGCTGGGCGTGGTGGCAGAAGCCTGTAGTCCCAGCTACTCCGGAGGCTGAGGCAGGAGAATGGCGTGAACCCAGGAGGCGGAGCTTGCAGTGAGCAGAGATCGCGCCACTGCACTCCAGCCTGAGCGACAAAAAAAAAAAAAAAAAAAAAAAAAAAAAAGCCTACAATCCACTAGTACTTTTATTTGTTGTCTTGTTTTTATTTTACTTACTTTGATATTGTTAATCCATTTAGTATTTGTTTTGTTATATGGTAGGAATCTAAATTTTTCCTCCTCCAAACGGTTAACCAAATGTCTCAACCTTTATTGAATATGTCATCCTTTATTTCCTGATACAAAATGCTCTCTGTAGAAAAACCTAAATTCTCTTATGTCCATGGATCATTTTTAATTCTCAGTTATGCGATGTTGATCTATACATCTATTTTTCTACCAATTCCATTGCTTTAATTATTCTAGCTTTTGAATAGTGTATAATAACTGATACGGTATATTCTTCCTGATAAAATTTTTAAAAGATTCTTTTCCATAAATAAATACAAGTTCACCATTTAAGATGAGTTTTAGAGTAATTTTGTTTTGTTTTATTGAATATTTTAGAGACAGGATCTTGCTTTGTAAGTTAGGCTGGAGTGCAATGACAACATCATAACTCACTGCAGCCTTGAGCTTCTGTGCTCAAGCAATCCTCCTGCTTCAGCCTCCTGAGCAACTAGTACTACAGGTGCATGGCACTTTGTTTGGCTAATTTTTAAATTTTTTGTAGAGACAGGGTCTCACTATGTTGCCCAGGCTGGTCTTGAACTCTTGGCCTCAAGAGAGCCCTGTACCTCAGTCTCCTAAAGCTACTGGATTACAGACATGAGTCACTGTGCCTGGCCTTTAGAATGCTTTTAATGTTCCAACAAAACAAACAAAAACACATAAATCCACCACAATTGAGACTTTGATTTGAATTTCATTATACTTTTGGACTCATTTGCAAATATTTAACACTTTTTATTATTGACTCTTCCCATTAATATTTAATATCATATTTCTTCTTATTTTCAAATGAAGTCACTTTGATCTTTTTGCTGAGATGTTAGCAGACCCTTGAAATTAAGTCATGAAGTCTCTTGTACATGTCAATCATTTTGTTGAGAATGAGAAAGTCATAAAAGCGGCCTTTGCCTTCACTATGCTTACATTCCACAAAAGATAATGAAGCTCTAGGGGGTTGACATAAAGTCAAGTAAAACAGAAATAAAACTCCCCATACTTTATTACTATAAATACACTGTTCTGTACTTGAATTCTGCAAAGTTGGCTGAGAGGACAAGTGACAATAAGAGCAGAATGGGATTGATCTGGAGTGGTAAAGGAGATGGTGAAAGGCATTGCAGATGGCAGAAATGGCATTTGGATTAGAGAAAGCAAATCACGAAGCAAATTCGCATGTGCTCTAGGCTAGCAAAGATCATGTGAATATACAATTATCTTTTAAAAGAGGAATGAGGGAGAAGGAAACCAATTGCTAGAAAACCTTTCAAGATGAAACATCAATATAGGTTTTATGTGAGCAAAAATTTAGACCTATTGTGTCTTCTAAAAATGAGTCTGAAATAGAAATGATGCTTAAAAAAGATATTCCTGCTGCAATGGACAAATTTGGAGTAAGGAGGTAGTTAATAGTCTGGTTAGGGAATTGGTGCAATACTTTAATATGGAATTTAATTTATTTACTCAATACTTTTCATAGAATATTACTCACTATGTGCCTAGCACTGTGTTAGCATTAAAATGACATTGTTTGCATCTGAAATCTATTTTTACAGTCTTCACAACAGATGTCTAATGACACCACTTATAAAGAGGGGGAGACATACCCCAGGTACTTCTGTACTTTGTTCAACAGAAATTTAACTGCCCAAGTGGATGCGTGATTGATGTTACTCAATGATTAATGCAGCAAACTCCCTACTTTACCCGCTGCAGCAGAAATCTCCGTTTAAGCCCTTGGGATATGTAAGTGCCTCATTTCTTAAGAAACTACAGTGAGATTAGGGAGAGAGGAAGGCTTCACAAAGCAATTAGGAAGAGGGCAGTTTAATCCATCCTCCTCCTTATTGCAAAGCAGCTTTAACCAAGGTATTGCCTACTAAAATAAACTTTAATCTACAAAGGAGTTTGCAAGAAAATTTGATCAAATAGGAAAATAAGAGGAATAAATAAAACAGCTATTGGGACAACCTATTTCTCTGCTGTTTTATTTCTTTCAATGTACTGAGACTGATAGCAGAAAATCTCATTGAAATAAGCATTTCTAAGTGCATCACAGTTGCTTTTCAGTCTGCAAAAGCCACTCTCCTGTAGCATGAATATTTTATTTTTTTCTCACCATATAACTGACATCTACATGATGTGAAGCAAAATACTTTGGGTTCTTGTTGTTGCTGCTTTTTAGAATTGGAAGAGTTATTTGGAAATAGGTCTACCCCACAAAAGAGAGCTTAAAAATGTTCGTTTCTTTTTGTGCCATTAATTCCTCTCTGCCTTCCCTTACTTGTAATTAATGGCTGTTAAGTGAGACTGTATGAGAGGAAATAAAAAAGTGCTGCATGTAAGTGTAGGGTTTTTTTTTTTCTTTTAATAAAAGCACATTTAACTTTTGTTTTTAAAGCCCACTTTGGCCCTCAGACCCAGTGATGCTAATTTTCTGAGCATCCTCTCTGACCTCAGAGGCATCTTTCTCTCTTTAGTCAAGTGTTAAACAAGAGCCTCTCCACCAGGAATGCCACGGGGGAGAAATGAAAAAAAAAAAAGGGACTGATAATATTCCTACTCTAGTTCCTAAAAGCGCATATATTGTGGTTCCCAGAAGACTGAGAGACATTGAAACCAAATATTGAATCTAGGTAAAAATGACTTTCACCATAAGCTATAAATTATATAAAAAATTATACATGCTTATGGCAACAAACAAGCAAACAAAGAAACCCAACAGAACAACAACAACCACAAAACCAGAAAAAAAGAAAAGAAATGGTATGTGATAGAACAATGTATAAAGCAAAAGTACTTCTCACTCTTCAACTCCTCAGTAAAACATTTATTTATTTTAGACAAATAGGGTTATATTATATATTGTTTTCCAGCTTGCTTTTTTTTGCACAAAACAATTTATCTTGGACATCTTTCTCTACCAGTACATATAGCTCCATCTCCTCCCTTTAAGCAGAGATATCCGTGACATAGAAGACACGAGATCCTGACTGCTGGACCTTCAGCTGGGTTTTGGTTATTTACAAAACAATGTTGCTGGGTGCGGTGGCTCATGCCTGTAATCCCAGCACTTGGGAGGCTGAGGTGGGCAGATCACTTGAGGTCAGGAGTTCAAGATCAGCCTGACCAACATGGTGAAACCCCATCTCCACTAAAAATACAAAAATTAGCCCAGCGTGGTGATGGACACCTGTAATCCCAGCTACTCAGGAGGCTGAGACAGGAGAATTGCTTGAACCTGGGAGGCAGAGGTTGTAGTGAGCTGAGATCACCCCATTGTACTCCAGCCTGGGCGACAAGAGTGAAATTCCATTTCAAAAAAAAAAAAAAAACCAATGTGATGATTATGCTTGTTCATGTGTAAAAAACCATAGGATAAATTTCTAAATGGAACTGGAAGATCAAAAGATGTGTTATTTCAATTTAAAAGTAAAATTTATAGGTTAACGTTTAATACATCCTGCCAAATTGCTCTGGAAGGAGGTTTTATCAACTTGCACTCCTAGTAATGGTACCAGAGAGGGCAGATTTCCCACTTGCAACAAATGTTTTCATCACTGGCAATATGAAAGAGGAAAATTCATTTCTCAATTTTAGAAATTTTCATATCTTCAATTATAAATGAGTTTGAACTTTGCATATTTTTATTGGTCAGGTTTTTTTCCCTACAAACAAAACTATCTATTATTTTTAAATTGACTTGTTTACCTTTTAATTAATGTGTAAGAACATTTGGATATTAAGGAAATTAACACCTTGTCATACAAATAAAAAATGTTTTCTCAAGAATGTATAATAAATAATCCATTTAAAAGAATAGTCCTAGTTTTATCAGTAGACTCCTTATCCAGGAGAAATTTGATTTAAAATCATTCCTATTTAAATCTTTCATTACAGAAACTGGATTTAATCAATTTTTCCAAAGAAAATGCATTCTTCTATTTGATGTAATCTTAAAATAGTTGTTTGATGTAACTTTAATACATAGTCATTACCTCCAAGATAGATTTATATTCAGAAAGAAGAAAAAAATTCGGAAAGAACAATGAAAAGTCAAAGAATAACGATGACCATCTTCATGTCTCATGAAACCTTTAGAATAAAATAAATTAAGAATATAAGACATAGAACATTCATGGAGATTTCAAGCTTTGCTCAGAACTTTGTTCTTAATTACTTTGCCAATTTTTTTCTTTATCATTTCTATGGCAATGTCCTCTTTAGAGGACATATTCCAAATTCCCTCTTTACTCACATCCTCTTTTCCAAATTATCTCACATATCTTCTGAAATGTTGTATTTTTTGAGGGCACCAAAGTTTGACTTAAAAGTTAATCACCATTAGATTCCATACACAATTCTATAGGAAGGTCATTGCCAAAGACTCAGATCACTGTACACACAGTTTATCAGCAGCTATGTCTTCACCTTGACTTAACTAATGCTCACAAAAGTCTTATCTCTGAAACAGTTTGAGTAGGAAAATTAGTGACAATAATGCTGGATGAAATAGCCTAAATACTAAATGCTGGTTTATGTGAAATGAAATTCTTTAATTTTTCTAAATCTCTGAGAATCACATCATTCTATGATTTAACCCCTAAAATTCTATGAACTTATGAGTCTAGGATTTTATATGGAAGTAACTATTTAACTATGTTTACAAACCACTGTTTCAGGTTCCAAATTGTTTTAGATGCTCAATGGCTTATTTTTTTTAAAACCATTAATTAGGTAATTAGTGGACTAATTTAAGAAATAAATAATTCCTCAAACCAAACAGGCTAGACAATTGCAGTCATAGTAATAAAGTAACTAAATTAAAATCAAATATAATTAAATATATTACAGAGAAAGTAATACGTTGCTAGGCTAGCATTTTTAGTTTATTTATTTTTTTCTTTTTTTTTCAGATGGAGTCTTGCTCTGTCCCCCAGGCTGGAGTGCAATGGCACAATCTCAGCTCGCTGCAACCTCTGCCTCCCGGGTTCAAGCAATTCTCCTGCCTCAGCCTCCTGAGTAGCTGGGATTACAGGCACCCACCACCACACCCGGCTAATTTTTGTATTTTTAGTAGAGATGAGGATTCACTGTGTCGGCCAGGCTGGTCTTGAACTCCCAATCTCAAGTGATCTGCTCGCCTCGGCCTCCCAAAGTGCTGACATTACAGTCGTGAGCCACTGTGCTTGGCCTGCATATTCAGTTTATATTTAAATACAAGTGAAGTAAGGCTACTTAATACATTATTTTAACATTGCAAAGTAGATTTATTATAATGTATGATGTTATTTTATTAATATTTATTTTTTCTTCTTTTTTTGGTCAAGGGAGATCAATGTATTTTGGTTTTGACTAAATTTAAAAAAGTAAACATATCAGAAGTTAGGCAAACTTTTGATATAAGGATTATCTGGAGGTGATAACATATACAGATCTTTTCATTTATTAAACAAATATCTATTGGCCACCTCTTGAGATTAACTTAGATAACAGCTAAATTAAAAAGCATTTGGAATCTGAGTAAAGACATATCAGGATGTTCTAAAATCCTTAGATATTCACCAAGCTTGGAAACTACTCAGAAGCCCCAAATCTGAAGGGATTTAATGCTGAAGTTTTTATTTACCCCAAAATAAATCCAAGTTTTAGTCAAGATATACTAACAGATTGGGAATGTAACCAATCTGTTATTAGATTATTGTATTTCTTTAAAAGTTACTCCATTTTACATTTTGATTTATTTATAAGGCAAAGATGGTTTGGGGGGAAATGTCAGTACTGGTAGTTTAATAAAGAATTTTTTGTTTATGTAACAGAATGATTGTTGGTTGTAGCCCTCATTGCTCTCTGAGGATACATTCTTGTAGCTGGAGAGCCTTCAGTTTACAGGATGCCGTGATAAAATAAGAAAATTAGGCTGGATGACTGAATTACTCTCCTAATAGTGCAGGGCCGAAGGGCAGGTGACAAGTTCCCCTTGGAGAAAGTCCTGGAGGAATAAGAGTGCAGTGAGGCTGTGCTGGTGAGTGTCCCAGAAAAGGTGACTCCTGATGCCTGGGGACCTGGGAGAAAGGATAAAGTAAGAAATGTTCAACAGGCCTGGAGGTGAAAGTTTGCACAGTGTGAGATGTAACCCCTTGTGATGCCATCATCAGCCTTCAGTAAATCTTTAAGGATATTGAACTGATTGGATTTCTTGGGGAAGCCAGTGAATAGAAAGAGTTTATGTCAAGGTTGTCTCCAGGCAGAAATATTCAGCTCAACATAGATAAAAAGGACAGCAGACACGTCAGTAACATAACAAAAAATCAGCACTAAAAACTGTCAGAATTATTTGTTCAATGCTTTGCCATTTGGTTACGCCTGGGCTTGTGAATCCTAGCAGGCCTATGCAACGTTTCCTGACACAGCTGCCTGCTTGTCTGGAGTATCAACCAAAGTTCACTACAGACACGTTCAGAAATGAAAATATTCCCCAAGCAGACCTCTATGGGTTATTTTATTTATTTATTTATTTGTTTATTTTTTTGAGACAGAGTCTCGCTCTGTCGCCCAGGCTGGAGTGCAGTGGCACGATCTCGACTCACTGCAGCCTCTGCCTCCTGGGTTCAAACAATTCTTCCGTCTCAGCCTCCCGAGTAGCTGGGATTACAAAAGCTCGCCACCACGCCCAGCTAATTATTCGTATTTTTAGTAGAGAAGGGGTTTCACCATGTTGACCAGGCTGGTCTCAAACTCCTGACCTCAAGTGATCCACCCGCCTTGGCCTCCCAAAGTGCTGGAATTACAGGTGTGAGCCAACGCGCCCAGCTCACTATGGGTTATTTATTAAAGAAATGACATGAACATAATCCTTAGTAGAAGGTCTTAACATCAAAATTTGGAGTGCAGTGGTGCAATCATAGCTCACTGTAACTTTGAACTCCCAGGCTCAAGGGATCCTCTGGCCTTAGCTCCTGACTAGCTGAGACTACAGAAGTGTGCCACCACGCCTGGTTAATTTTTTTTTTTTTTTTTTTGAGATGGAGTTTCACCCTTTTTCCTAGGCTGGAGTGAAGTGGCGCGATCTCTGCTCACTGCAACCTCTGCCCTCTGGGTTCAAGCAATTCTCCTGCCTCAGCCTCCGGAGTAGCTGGGACTATAGGTGCACGTTACCACACCTGGCTAATTTTTGTATTTTTAGTAGAGATGGGGTTTCCTCATGTTGACCAGGCTGGTCTTGAACTCCTGGCCTCCAGTGATCTGCCTGCCTCGGCCTCCCAAAGTGCTAGGATTACAGGTGTGAGCCACTGTGCCCAGCCGCCTGGTTAATTTTTTAAAAAAAATTTGGAGAGATAAGTCTCATCATGTTGACCAGGCTGGTCTTGAACTGGCCTGGCATCAAGTGATTCTCCCTTCTCAGCCTCCCAAAGTACTAAGATTACAGGTGTGAGCCACCGTGCCTGGGCACTGTCACATTTTTAAAGGAAACAATGTTTTTCTATATACAATGTTTCTGTTACATTTTATTATTAAATATCTTAGGATTATTCAGACTGTTCTTTTCTTAAATCAATTAACAAATCTATTATATTGTGTATCTAATACTTAATACTAGTGGGAGAATACTGTCTTCAAGCTCTTCAATCCTTAATGTCAGTAATTTTCCACTGTAAGTCTGTACTCACTGGGCATACTTGAATGAAGTCTCTATATGCTGTAACAGGAAGTAAAAATCACTTACAAGAAATTTCTGACTCTAGCAGTATTCATTCATTTGCATATTGCTAAGTGATTTGCATTCTAGTTAAGTTAAGGATGTCATAAATGCATCTCTCATTTACATCACCAAGAGGGGGAAATTAGAGGATGACAGGAATGTATGCAAAAGCACTTTGTAAAGTACCAACAAAATGTAGTCCTCTAGTATCAAAATCAGACAGAAGTTAACAAAGTACTCTGAGGAATAGCCATGAAGCAAAGGAAAATTATTTGCTTATAAAACCAGAATTATAGGCTGGGCATAGTGGCTCACGCCTGTAATCCTAGCACTTTGGGAGGCTGAGGCAGGTGGATCACCTGAAGTCAGGAGTTTGAGACCAGCCTGACCAACAGGGTGAAATGCTGTCTCTACCAAATATACAAAAATTAGCTGGGCATGGTGTGGAGGCTGAGGCAGGAGAATCATTTGAACCTGGAGGTGGAAGTTGCAGCAAGCCAAGATCGCACCACTTCACTCCAGCCTGGCCAACAGAGCGAGCCTCCATCTCAAAAAACAAAAAACAAAAAACCAGAATTATAAATAATCAGGTACAGCTATATGCCATATACAGTACCTTAAAAATTTGTTTTCTTATATATATATATATATATAAGAAATATATATAATTTATATATATATATATATATATATATGGGTGAAAAAATAGTTAAAAAGATTCAATTCATGCTTTAATGTAGTTTGTGTTTTTTTCAGACCCTTTTTATTGATACCATGGTCATTTTCATTTTCCAAGCAGCTATCATTTTGTTATTAATTTCTAATTTTACTGCATTATGACCAGAGAATGTGTTCTATATGTAATCAATTTTGTGTTGTCTATTGAGATTTCTTTTGTGGGAAACATTGAAATTGTTGAATTTTTCTCAAATTAGATATATACTTCACTTGTCTATTTTTCCTGCCTGGGAATCAGTGTATTTCCTCACGTTTTAGACTCTTGTATTTCATTACAGAAAATTATCATCCCATTTTCTGCTCTCTCCAGTGTTTCCTTGAGACATATTAGACATATGTTGGACCTTCTCATTTTATCTTCCTTATTTCTGAGCCACTTTTTAATCTCTTCTCTTTCTTTGCATACTTCATTATGGGCAAATTCCTCATATATATCTTCCAGTTTGCTTATTTTTTCTTTAGATGTGTCTAATGTGCTATTTAACATATCCATTAACATTTCCAGGACTATAAATTTCATTTCTAGACATTCTATGTCTTTTCAAATTTGCCTACTCTTTATTTTCATAGTGTCCTATTGTTTCATTATGTTTTCACTTTCTTTAAAAATCTCTTTACTCATTTTAAGCATACTACTTCAGAGTGTTTTTTATTTTGTTCTGTTATCTGTAGTTGTTTTGGTGCTAATTCTCTTTATTTTTGCCTCCAATGACTTTTTTTTAATGGTAGTTTCATTCCTTGTGTACTTTATAACATTTTTTGTGGTGGTTGTTTTGTATTCATCTTCAGTGCTTTAATTTGTTTTTTAGAGAAAGGTTTCTGTTATGGACTGAACTGTGTCCCTCTCCACAACCCTGTTTATCTGTTGAAGCCTGTGACGGTTAAGTTTATATGTCAACTTGACTGGGCCATGGAATGCCCAGATAGTTGGTTAAACATCATTTCTGGCACGTCCCTGAGGGTGTTTCCAAAAGAGATTAGCATTTGAATTGGTGAACTGAGTAAAGTAGATGGCCTTCCCATCTACTTTAGTCCCCAAGGTGGACATCATCCAGTTCACTAAGGAACTCAGTAGGAAAACCATGAAGGAAGGTTAAATTCTCTCTCTGCCTGATTGCTTAAGCTGGGATATCAACCTCCTGCCCTTGACACTCCTTGTTCTCAGGCTTTTAGACTTCAGCTGGAATCTTTACCATTGGTTCTGTGGCTCTCAAGCCCTTAAACAACACAATTGGCCTTCCTGGGGCTCCAGCTTACAGAAGGCATATCATGGGACTTCTCAGTCAGCATAATCACATGAGCCAATGCCTTACAATAAATCACTTTCCATATATACATATACATATGAAAATAAATCTCATTATTTATACATATATATTCTGTTGGTTCTGTTTCTTTGGAGAACACAAAAGTACAGAGCCCTAACATTCAATGTGATCAGATTTGGAGATAGAGCCTTTAAAGAGGTAATTAAGGTTAAATGAGGTCGTAAGAGTGGGGCTGGGGCCGGGCATGGTGGCTCACGCCTGTAATCCCACCATTTTGGGAGGCTGAGGCAGGCGGATCACCTGAGGCCGGGAGTTCGAGACCAGCTTGACCAACATGGATAAACCCTATCTCTACTAAAAATACAAAGTTAGCCGGGAGTGGTGGTACATGCCTGTAAGCCCAGCTACTCGGGAGGCTGAGGCAGGAGAATTGCTTGAACCCGCGAGGTGGAGGTTGCAATGAGCCGAGATCGTGCCCTTGCACTCTAGCCTGGGAAACAAGAGCAAAACTCCATCTCAAAAAAAAAAAAAAAGGCCGGGCGCGGTGGCTCACGCTTGTAATCCCAGCACTTTGGGAGGCCGAGGCGGGCGGATCACGAGGTCAGGAGATCGAGACCATCCTGGCTAACACGCTGAAACCCCGTCTCTACTAAAAATACAAAAAAAAATAGCCGGGCGTGATGGCGGGCGCCTGTAGTCCCAGCTACTCGGGAGGCTGAGGCAGGAGAATGGCGTGAACCCGGGAGGCGGAGCTTGCAGTGAGCCGAGATTGCGCCACTGCACTCCAGCCTGGGCCACAGAGCAAGACTCCATCTCAAAAAGAAAAATAAATAAATAAAAAATAGAGTGGGGACTTAATACAGTGTGACTGGTATCCTCATGAAAAGAGAAAGAGAGGCTGGGTGCAGTGGCTCACACCTGTAATCCCAGCACTTTGGGGGGCTGAGGCAGGCGGATCACGAGGTCAGGAGTTTGAGACCAGCCTGGCCAATATGGTGAAACCTCGTCTCTACTAAAAATACAAAAATTAGCTGGGCGTGGTGGCGTGCGCCTGTAGTCCCAGCTACTCAGGAAACTGAGGCAGAAGAATCACTTGAACCCAGGAGGTGGACGTTGCAGTGAGCCAAGACTGCGCCACTGCACTCCAGCCTGGGCAACAGAGCGAGACTCCATCAGAAAAGAAAGAAAGACAGACAGACAGACAGACAGACAGACAGACAGAAAGAAAGAAAGAAAGAAAGAGAAAGAAAGAAAGAAAGAGACACCAGAGATGTGTCTGCTCTGGAAAAGGCCACGTGAAGATACAATGAGGTGCCCTCTATAAGTCAAGAAATGAGTCCTCAGGCGAAATCTAACCTGCTGATACCTTGATCTTGGCCTCCCCAACTTCTAAAATTATGAGACAATAAATAAAATAAAATTGTATTGTTTAATCCATCCAGTCTATGGTATTTTGTTATGGCAGCCCTAGCCAATTAATACAGCTTCTGACCTCTATGTTTTGAAAGTAACCTCACAGAGTTCTTTTGCATTTGCTTCTATCAGATTCAAAGGTTTCAAAGTCTTTGGATCTATTTTTATGTTAATTTATTTGCTTAGTGTCCTATTCCAAGACAGTGGATTTAGGATTAGGTTTCCAAGCAAATATTATAAATTCAGACCTCTCAATATGTGGCCCAGTCTGGTATCAGTTTCAGACAATGTCTGAGTTTGTTGTTTTGTTGTATCCATCACTTTCATGACCTGGTAGAAGGAAGGGAGGCTTTCCATGTCATGTGTATCTACTGTGTTTGCTTTCTAATTGTGTGCACTAGAAGTAGTAGGTATTTTTCTAACATGCTAGAAGTAAATTTGTCTTTGTAGAGCAAGGCCAAAGAAATTATATGAGTTAGTAGCTAATAAATTTGTCACAGCCTTTTTTTAAAAAAAGGTTATGTTGTGGGTAGAAGAATAAATTAATTTTAGAATAAATAACCTTCAATAATGTCATGAAACGATCATCAGAGATTTTTTTTCCAGATTTAAGGACATCAGTGTGATGTATGTAGTGGTTCATGGTTTCAGAAACAATAGATGTATTTTATATATATGTATTTACATGCATATATAATACACACATATAATTATAAGTTATATATGTATGCGTATATACATACACATACATATATAATTGTAAGTTGAAAAGCAAGAAAAAAGTCTTCATCTTTGTGGCTGTATTATAACTGCGAAGTCACTGATACCTTCATGGACCTTTAATGCACCTGCTGTCCATACACCTGTCATTTGCTTTCCTATCATCTATTCAAGCAAGTCTATGCTTCATGTTTATGCTGTTCCTACCCACTTAACCAGAGAAGTAATCAATGATAGTCATGATAACTCAAATGCACAGTATTTAACATGCAGTCAAGTTTCTGAAACCTATTTTTTTCCCATTTAAAGCTCTCCTGAC